>NC_000007.14:114021930-114324960 GCF_000001405.40 Homo sapiens
TGTATGAGTTATACTCGCAGCCAGTGTGTGACCTCTCACACTACAGCCACTCTCCCGTAAATGGAGATGTTCTCACTTTGCCCACTGCTCTTCTCATTCTAAATCTCTTTGAATGAAATCACTCTCCCCCATGTTTTTAACTCCCATCAGTATGACTGAAATCTCCAAAAGTTTATCTGAAGCACTGATATTTATTTAAAACTTTAGAGATACATATCCAATGTTTTGCTTTCTGTAGCCAAATAAATGTCCCATAAGCACTCAAATGTAATTCATTTAACATGTTTTATCTTTGTCTTAAATCTTCTTGTCTTCATGTATTTTCTGACTATATGAGGCCATCTTTTACCCAATCTATAAAGCAAGAATCTTGAGATATCTTAAGAGTTCTCTTTTCTCCTCATATCCAACCACTAATGCTTCACCTTCTAAATTTTTAGAAACTACCAACTTCACCTTCTAAATTTTTCTGAGCCACTTTCTCTATTCTTGTTGCCAGTGCCTTGAGCCCTCATCATTCATCATCTGCACTTGCTTGAGTGTGTTCCTCACTTATACCATGTGGTATCATATTCCCTTCCCTTGCTTTGTATGGTTTCATCTCCGAAAATGTGGTTTTCTCATTTTTTGCCAGATCAATTCCAAAATTCAGCTCTGTTCACCCTCTCTCCCAAAGAACTTCCTTAAAAATCTCAAGTTGGTCTTTGCTATCTTTGTGCATCACTCTGGCATGGTATATATGAAGTCATATTCAAAGTTCTGGGTCATACTTTTTTTGAGGACAGAAACTAGGTTTTGCATCTTTGTATCTCATATGCCTACATAATGCCTCACTTGTCAATAAAATGATGTGAACTGCCACATAAAAACACACAAAGGCTGCTGGATGAGTACTGGAAGCCAGGGGAAGAGTCCCAGAGCTCCTGCGACTTTCTGCTTTTCTATTTACCTTAGGCTCATGCAGGTGAGCTCTTCTGGGATTTCTTTTTGTTTTTTTCTTTTTGTTTTGTTTCTGTTTTTGAGATGGAGTCTCCCTCATTCTATTGCCCAGGCTGGAGTGCAGTGGTATGATCTCGGCTCACTGCAACCTCCACCTCCTGGGTTCAAATTATTCCTCTCCCTCAGCCCCCCGACTAGCTGGGATTACAGGCGTGTGCCACCACACCAAGCTAATTTTTGTAGTTTTAGTAGAGACAGGGTTTCACCATGTTGGCTAGGCTGGTCTCGAACTCCTGGCCTGAAGTGATCTGCCTGCCTTGACCTCTCATAATGCTGGAATTACAGATGTGAGCCACCACACCCAGCCTCTTCTGGAATTTCTTATACCCTACTTAATTCAGCAGATTTTCATTGGGCACTGTCTTCGTCCATCCGGGCTATTACAAAAACAAACCTTAGACTGGGTGATCTATAAATAGTAGCAATTTATCTCTCACAGTTTTGGAGGCAAGGAAGTCCAAGATCAAGGCTCAGGCAGATTCAGTGTCCGATGAAGACTTGCTCTCTGCGTCACATAGAAGGTGCTGTGTCCTCAAATGGCAGAAGGGCAAGGTAGCTTTATTCAATCCCTTTTATAAGGGCATTAATCCCATTTATGAGAGTGAGCTCTCATGAATTAATCACTTCCCAAAGGCCCCATCTCTTAATACTATTCCATTGCCGGATAGGTATTAAGATATTGATTTTGTGGGGTACCGACATTTAGAGCCTACCAAGCTCCTTTTCTATATTCTAAATAGGAGCATAAGGAAACTCAGAGAAGGACCAGTACCTATCATCAGGAGAAAATATTTGAAAGACTAAATTTAGTTTTGTTACCATTTGTCATCCACATGCTCTACTAAATCAGCTTCATGTTGTGCCTGGACTGTCCAGGGGTCCACTCTGAGATTACTGCCCGTTATTAACTTTCTGCGCTGCCCAGGGCAGTGACTCAAGTTAGGCCTCACCCACCCCTGCTCTATGATCCCCCCAAATATTTGTATGCTCTATTTTTATTTTACATTACATGAACTAAAAGCGATGTTCAAGTAAATTCATCTCTACCACCCTGCTAATTGTGAGGAGTACGAGGAATGTTGCTACTGGCTCTACCTTTTTTCTCTACCTAACTTATGCCCTTCTTGAAAAAAAAAAGTATCTTAAATTAGTAAGTTATGGTTAAAAACTAAGATATGCATGTTCACATTCTGGCACCAAAGATATTCTTGATCCAGTAGTACCCCTCAAATCTTTTGTGTGGTCCAATTCCTACCCACAACTCTGAAAAATAAGTGCGGGGAAGGGCTAGAGCCACTGATAACACCTCATCTTCCCAGTCGCTCAAATCCTAAAATTTGGAAAAGGTCAATGATAGGTTAAAAGGAAAAACTCCCAACTGAGGAGAAGTCTCCATCTACCTTGTTTAGATACTTCAAAGAAGTTTTCTTAGTGCAGAAATAATTTTATGTCAGGGAAGCCCGTAACTGTTATGTGGACTGAACACCATATAACTATTATCCTTAACAATTGGGATTATGTATGCATCCTCCTACACAGTGATTTTAAGGCAAATTGAGTAAAAATGATCATTTTTTCTCCTATATAAAAGGGTCTCCAAATGAACCATGTTTAACCTAATGAGGCTTTAATAATAAGTATTGATTGAAACATGAAGTCATTTTGATGGCTACACTCATCTGGATACAAATCTGAAGAACTTGGGCACTTTTTTAAAATAGTTTCCCCTAATTCCTGACCATGGAGAAGCAGTGCATCTGGGGTACCGTCTGAAAAATCTATGTTTGTTTTACTAAGTACTTGGGTGATGCTGAAGTAGTTTTTTGGAGAAACCCCTAAAATAGGGAATAAAAGCTTTCTCAGTGTGTTTGTAAAATTAATGTAAATATTGGTCAATATGAAATAACACTGAAACACTTCCTATTTTAGAATTATGTATCAGAATTGCAGCTCATGCACCTAACAGCCCAATAACTACTGTTCTGTATAATAACTTCATTTCTAGTTTCTGGCCCCCATTCTGCTTAGATCTTGAAAACTTAACTCAGCTCTTCCTGGAATTTTTCCAGAGTGATGGCATAGTTCTAGGATCTTACACAGGATCAAGGATGAGGGAAAGGGGTCCATCTGGCTTTGGCCATCAGTACAGGTCTTTCTGCCTGTTTCGGCCTCATGGTTCAGAACATTCCAGATCCTTTTGCTACTCCTTTTGAGGTATTATTGAGATAAGAGAACTCTTTGTGGCTTCGTATGATCCCTGATGCCTGGACAGAGAAGACAGCCATTTCCACCCTTAGATCTAGCCACCCTAGCCCCTCTTCATCCCCAGCATACTATCAAGAAGCAGGACTTAACTCCCTCTCTGCTCTCTAGTCTTACAAGTCTCTCTCTTCTTCACTTCGTGATACTTATATGTCTCTAGACTAGACTAAGTCTTTCTCACTTTGTGTTTCTCTAAGACATGAGCTTGTGCATATAATTCTACATCCATCAGTCACATAAACCCAACCAATCTAGGACTTCTGGAAACCCATGCCAGGAACAGCAGTGTGCATTACACACTCCACACAAATACTTAATGAGGCAACAATAGGTACTTGCTGAATAGGAAATACAGGAGAAAAATACACATCTAAGAAATATTATCAAAAGCAAAATTCAGGATTTAAAATTCAGTGTAACATTAAAATTTCAGTCAAATATTCTATACCTGGTAACAAGCCAATATTCATAAATATTTTATGAAAGCTATCATTCCCATTTGATGAAATCCATTTCACCATATTTGAAACATACCTTTATACTGTGGGATCATTTGGTTGAAAGAATCAAAAACCTCCAGGTCATGGAAGAAGGCAGTCATTGGAAGGCATTATCAGGGACAACCAAGAATAAGAAACAAAGCCAAAAGCTGGGGCACAGGAAGACTGGCATTGAAAGTCAAAAAATAAGATTACCCGTTTCTCTCATAAATTATAGGTCCCTCGTCTTTGTTATTCTCTACACATGGCCCCACTATTCTGACTTCTCTAAAGAATTGCCTTATTCTCTTTCTTTGTGGATTCCATAACTTGAAAATGGCTTTGACATTCCATTGTATTGCTTCATTCTTGGCTTATAATGAATATTCATGATAAACAGTTCAATGAACTGTACCCCAGGGAAGACCAATGGTTTGTGCATCTGCTCCTTCTGGCAGCTGTGACTGGAACAGGTTCTCTTAAAAAAAAAAACAAAAACAAATAAGTGCTTGGTCTGGAGGCTATAATGGTATGGTCACTAAATTTGGCATGCCCATCCTGAATTCTGAAAATAATATCTGGCACTTTTAAGTCTTCCATATGCTATAAGGCATATGTTAGTTTCACTCTGGCCACAGAATGACACAAGTATGTCATTTATAATATTGATAATATTATAATAATTATGCGATAGTACATCATTTCCAACTTTACATCAATCATATCTATAGCCTTGACTTTAGAAACCAACCAATCGAAAAATAAAAATAGAATCGAATAAAAAGCTGTCAACCTCAAATCAGCTCTTTTAGGCATAAAACATTCTATCTCAGTCAAACCAGATGTCACTCCAGTGTTGAGTGTAACAGCCAATTTTAGTTAATGTCTAGGAGTATCAAATGAATTCTGTCTTAATTTGTATCTCTTTTAGGTGGCCATTCAGCCATCTATAAGTTGTTTCTCACTACCAATTTTCTAAAAGCAGAAGTAACACAAATTGATTTTTAAAAGCCCTTTACCACTAGGTGGCACCAAATAGCCATAATTCATAGAATGTCTCCTAAAGCCATACACCTGCCATTTAAGGATTATCATTCTTTCTTTGCTTAAAAAGAAAATATTTATAAAAATTAAAAACAACTAATTTCTTCCTTCTTTGGAATAAGAAATACATATAATATTTTTTCCTAAATAGACTATTTTTCTTTTTTAATAAATTGAAATATATTCATTTAACCTTTGTGTTAATAAATTGATGGTAACATTCTTTGTTGAATTTCACAATGTTATTCATTTCCCCCATTAAATGCTTGCAGTATTCGAAATATTTGTTTTTGTTTTGCTTAGAAATATTTAATAGGACCCTATCTAGAGATTTTGATTTTGTTAAGATCTAGATTTACTGAGTATGGTCCCTGTCATTACAGAATATGCCTTTATTTTAATAGGGATGTTCTCAGTCCAAGGATGCATTTGGATTATGATATAGATGCTGTGGAAAAAGATGCCTCTCCCTACCTACACTTGTAAATTCCCCTCTAATACAGGGCTTACCACACTACTTTAGGTTTTTGTCACCTTGAGGTTTGACTACTGCCATGTCCTCTACCTTGGTTGACAGAGGAAGAGCCCTAGAATATTCAGCTAGAATGAATGTGACAGCTTGTCTGTTTAGCAATGCCAACCACACAGAGCACATTATACAGATGCTCTGTGCATAGCTCTGGCTTCCAACAGTCATTCTAGGTGTTCAGTTTAATTTATACAGCTCTCCACGGCCTAGGACTTCTAAGTAAGTTATACGACATATTCATTTCCTATCCTGGCAGTTAAGGCATGTTACCAGATAGTTCCTAGATACAATGGTGAACTCAAAAGTTAGAGGTCCTTGACTCTACCACTCAATCTCATTTTCTGGCTTGAAAAGAGCTTGTTTTGCTCTATACAAGCTTTTCTTGAAAATATGGGTCCTTAAATTAAATTCTATGAATAGTATTTATTTGTGTAGATAGGGTCTAGCAAAACAAAATGTCATGTCAGTGTTTCAACTGATAGAAATGATATTTTAGCAATAGGCATCTATTATAAAAATTATAAGAAAAATTAAGTGAAATTAACAGAATAGCAAAAACTAGCTTAAGTGTAATGTAGTTCATTATGATTATCATTCAGTAAGCATGTATTGAATGTTGAGTAAGATACTATATTAGAAACTGTAATACACTGCAGCAAACTATACAAAACTATAATGTTATTAAATGAAAAATTGTAACAAATGTAAAATAAAAATATTGAGTTACTAATTTTTCGTTGGAATTATTCAATATCCTTCCAACTAACTTGTTGCTTTGGTAGAATATGAAATAAAGAAAGACAAATATCTCAACATTACAAATTGGCCTGAATTTCAAGGAACTAGAAAAGCTAGGAACCAAATTCAACATGAATAAATAAAAAGAAATTAGTTTGAATAACCTTAACATATAACAAATACATACTCTGTGTATCTGTAATTTTCTCAATCAGAAACTACTCATTAGAAGAAAACAAGGGCTTAGCGAATATTTTATTTCAAATCTGTGTCTTTTCCTGAAGCAGGCATTTTAGATACCTTCTATGTCCTGAAAAAAAAGAAAATCAAATAAATTAATGACGATTTCCCTTGACCATAATCTAGCATGTTTGGGAGGGATTCCTGTGATTGCACACTTCCAAACATTAGTTAGTGAAAAGGCTCTAAGTTTATCAATAAAAATAGAGTTAAAAATGAAAAGAATGCAGGGGGTGAATGAAATGCTAAAATGCACACATTTCTTGATTTTAATTATAATAAAATTTTTTTCTTTAATCAGAATCATGACAGTAAACACACTTTTTAACTGCCAGTGAGATGACTTTGGCAAGGGTTATACATTTAAAATGGTAAAATAACTTCTGGATGAATAAAAACAATGTATATTTAAAGAAATTTCAATGATTAAAAGTATTTAAGTTGTGCGACAAAAAGAGTTCTAGATCCTCTCTGAGTTCCCTTTTGTTTTTGTCACTTCTTTTTCTTTTAAAGACAGGGTCTCACATTGTCACCCAGGTTAGAGTGCAGTGTCACTGACATAGCTCATTGCAGCCTTGACTTTCTGGGCTTAAGCCATCCTTCCATCTCAGCCTTCCTAGTAGCTGGGACTACAAGAGTGCATCACTGTGCCCAGCTAATTTCTTCTTTTTTTTTTTTTTTTTTTTGGCAGAGACAGGGTCTCACTATGTTGCCCAGGCTGGTCTTGAACTCTTGGACTTAAGTGATCCTCCTGCCTCAGCCTTCCAAAGTGCTGGGATTACAGCTGTGAACCACTGTACCCATCCTGTGTTTGTCACTTCTATCATCTTTCCTTTCAGTATCTGCCATTACTTATGGTTTTACCTTTTCTGAATAAAAAATAGAATTATATTTGGTTTTCTGACTATCTTCAGCAAGAATGGTCTTTCAGCAGATGGTTTTCCAGGAGTGATGGAAATGTATTGACAAAGTACATTTTTGAAAACTTTTGCCTAATGTTTATTAGGATAACCAGGTGACATACTTACATTTCAGTTTGCATGTCATCTGTTTTCCACATAAGGCTGACACAGAAAAACTGACTAATAAGAAATATTGGTTTCAACGCCCAAACTTTGACTTCTCTCTAAACCTTCATTATTGGAGGTAATATTATGATCTTGCATGCTTATAAAAATGCAGGGAAGTAACTGATGAAATTTGTTCTGTCACAAAGTCACTTGTCTCAAAATTAGATTATATTTTACTACCATATTTTGCATATAGGCTATAGAACCATCTAATGCCAAAACAGCAGACAAAAAGTGTACGTGTATGGGGGAGTTCCATAAACCCATCATCTTGAATATATAAATTTCAAATAGCCAATATCGGTGTGTCATTATTGACCCATTAAAAAACGAAGATTTCTGACTTAAAATATACCCTTAAAAATATATCCAGAGATGGTTGAGCAAATCCACTTGATTGAGTTCTCTACCTTTAATCCCTATTGATTAATACTAGTGGCTAATATTTGTAGAGAATGTACTCAAAGTATCAGGAGCTATACTAAGCACTTTACATTTGTTGTCTACTTTTTTTTGTAAGATGCTATCAGTAGAGATTATATACACAAATCTTGGACAAGATCACACATCTGACTGTCTTAGATTTGAACCCATACAGTTAGACAAGACAGCCTATATTTTAAATCATTTCACTATAGAGCTCTGAATTTAATACCATGGTTTCTACATTAGTTTAATTAATCTTTTTAATAAACAAGTAATGATTTTTAAGATATCTTTCATTGCTATGATAACCCCTTTTTTTTAGTTTCTCTTAGTTTTGTCTTTTTTTTTAAGAGACAGATTCTCACTATGTTGCCCAGGCTGGCCTCAAACAACTTCTGGGTTCAAATAATCTTCCTGCCCTGGCCTCCTGACTAACTGGGACTACATGCCCAGGGCAATGTGCCTGGCTTATTCTTTCTATTTATACAGCAATTAATGAATACCTATTTATTGGAAAGGATTTAAGCAATAGCTATAAAATGTTAAAGTGCTCTCTCACTTCTGCATTCCAAGTTCCCAACTGAAAGGCAACATATATTAAAATTCTGTTGTCTGTAATTTAAGTTCTCTTGCTAAGAACTAACACACATATACATAAAAGTATAGAGGCCAGGCATGGTGGCTCACACCTGGAATCCCAGAACTTTAGGAGGCCAAAGCGGGTGATCACTTGAAGCCTATGTAACAAAACAAGACCTCATCTCTACAAAAAAAAAAAATTAAAAATCAGCCAGGCATAGTGGCGCATACCTCTAGTCTCAGCTACTTGGGAGAGTGAAGTAGCAGCATAGCTCAAGCCCCAGAGTTTGAGGCTGCAATGACTATGGTTCTGCCACTGCACTCCCACAGAGTGAGACTCCATCTCCAAAAACAAAAAGAAATATTTTGTGAAAACATAATTATACTATACCCATTCTTCCAGTAATATATTTTAATATCTACATATCTTGCACTTTCCTTGTAAGTAGTTATGAATCCTGCACAATTTTTTCATTTGTTGTCCAGTATTATATAATTTGGAAGCAGCATATTCATTGACTATCGCCTACTTAACAAATATGTAGTATATCTTCATTTACCTTTTTCTCTAATAAACAACTCTAAAAGTTACATCCATATACATATTACTGCTGCACATATGTCTTTCTTTAAATAGATTCCTAGAAATGGACTTGTGTAGTCCAAGATTATATCTATCTATCTATCTTTTTTTTTTTTTTTTGACAGTCTCATTCTGTCGGCCAGGCTGGAGTGCAGCAGCGCAATCTCAGCTCACTGCAACCAACTTGTGCCTCAGTCTCCCTAGTATCCTGAGTAGTTGGGATTACAGGTGCCTGCCCCCATGGCCAGCTAATTTTTGTATTTTTAGTAGAGATGGGGTTTTGCCAAGTTGGCCAGGTAGATATATTTTTGATAGCTACCATCCAACCGATCTTTCAAAGTACTTTTACCCTTTATACTCTAACACTGTATTGACAATGCAGTTGTCTGTACTCTTACAAACACTAAAATATATTAATTTTAGAGTTTGTTTTGTATGGTTTGACAATGTGATGGAAAATAATATTGGATTGTTGCTTAAATTTCCACATTTCTGAATACCGAAGAGAGTATTCAATACAGATTTAAACTAAATGTTTGTGTCTCATCCAAAATTCACATATTGAGATCCTAATCCTCAATGTGGTGGTTCTGGGAGGTAGAGCCTTTGGAAGATGATTAAGTCATGAGGACGGAGTCCTCGTGAATTGAATGAGTGTCCTTATAAAGAAGATCCCAGAGAGCTCTCCTGACCTCTTTGTGCCATGTAAAGACACAGCGAGAAGTCGGCAGTCTGCAACTCAGAAGAGGGCCCTCACCAGAACCCAGTCATTCTGGCACCCTCATCTCAGACTTCCAGCCTCCAAAACAGTGAGAAGTAAGTTTCTGTTGTTATAAGCTGCACAGTCTATGGCACATTGTTATAGCAGCCTAAATTAAAACAATTGGTAAAATAGAAATTTTACCATTTTCTAACTTTGTTATAACTGGGTATGACCCAGACATAATTTGTTTGCATACCACAGTAATTTCTTTTACAGTTTATACATTTTGCCAATGTTTAACTATTAAAAAGGTTTAGGTAAAAATACAGATTTACAGCTTCTTTCAAAAGATCAAAAGATCTAGCAACATTAAGTCTGTATTCTTCAGTGACACAGTCACAAACACCAAGCAGTAGCTATATGGTCTAGATAGAGCATGCTTTCTTCCATTCCCCTTGGCTGGCCTAAGTTCCTCACTTTTATTTCCTACAAAGCCATTAGACAACTGGAGTTAGCTTCCCCTGAACTAACCCAGCCACCAAGTGAGACAGGTGGCTCTAGAAAAGGAAAACTCAACAAAACAAAAATGCTCATAAGATGTTTTATTTTACCTGGTTTGCATAAGAGTGGAGTATTTTAAAATTTGTTATAGAAATTTTCATAGAAGCAGGGAGAATATTATAATGAAGCCCCCATGTAAATATTAGCCAGTTAAACAATTATAAAAATCCGGCAATTTTCAGTTATTTTTGTGGTCCTTGTTGAATATATGATGCATATGTGCTAACAGACATTTTTACACACCGATTGTTCTCCTGCTGTGCACTATAGTTCCTACAAGGTGCTTTATGATTGGCAAATCATTCACTAAATCCTTCAACACCTCTTTACTGATAAAGAAGACTTCCTTTATTCAAATATCATTTGGGCCAATTTAAATTCACCTCTAGGCAGAGATTTTTTAAAGTTCTATAAGAGGATATTAGTATAATTAAAAGAGCACAAATAATAGTAGATATCTTCTTTAGTATATACTATCTTCTAGGCCCTCTGCCACAGATTAACACACATTACTTTATTATAACCATCCAGCAAAATAGATATTGGCCCCAGTTTTATAAAGGAGAATATTGATTATCAAAATCCAAAGTTTCATAATGAAATAAGTTTATTATTTTATTGACAGAAGCATTTCTCATCAGAAACATTATAAAAGTGAAATTTTAAACACATCTATTACCTTGGACTATACAATTAATTTTTTAAAATTTTGATCTAGACTGGCATTGATGTACTCAAGTACATTAATGTACTTCCAGGTACTTCCAGGTAAACAGGGAGTACTTCCAGGTAAACAGGGAGTACTTCCAGGTAAACAGGGAGTAGACACAGAGGGACTGCCTGCTTAAAAAAAATGAAATGGGACCCAGAATCTCATGATAGAATATCTAAAATGTCCAAAATGCAATTGAAAGTTATTCATTATACCAAGAACCAGGAAAATCACAAAACGAATGAGAAAAGACTATCAACAGATAGCAATACCAAGATGAATCATATATTGTTGGAATTATCTAACAAATATTTTAAAGAAGAACATCACAAATATACTTCAACAAGTAATTGTGAATTATCAAAACAAATGAAACAATAGAAAATCTCAGCAAAGAAATGGAAGCTATTTAAATAAAGAAAACAATTTATAGACTTGAAAAATATAAAAACTGAATTATGGAGGTTGCGGTGAACCAAGATTGTGCCACTGCACTCCAGCCTGGGCAACAGAGCAAGACTCTGTCTCAGAAAAAAAAAAAAAAAAAAAAAAAACACTGGATGGGTTCAATAGTAAGATGGAGATGACAGAAGGTAAAATCAATGAACTTGAGAAGCAATGAGTAGAATTTACTCAATATAAACAATTAAGCAAAATAGACTGAAAATATAAACACAGTCTCAGATACCTGAAGGACAATGCAAAAAAAGCTAACATTTGTATCACTGGTGTCCAAGAAGCAGAAAAGGGAGACACAATGGAACTAAAGAACTATCTGAAGATATAGTGACTGAAAAATCCCCAAATTTGGTAAAAGACATGGATCTACAGGTTAAAGAAAATGAATGAATCATAAAAAAAAAAAAGAAATCCAGGTGAGGATACATCATAGTTAAATTTCTGACAACAAAAGACAAAGAAAAAATATTTAAAGCATACAAAGAGAAGCAATTCATTACCTATAAGGGAAGGCCAACTTATCAGACAATGGATTTATCATCTGAAATTACGGCGGTCATAAGAAAGTTACACATTTTTCAAGTGCTAAAAGAAAAAAAAACCCTTAACCATGATTACTTTCTCCAGCAAAAATATTCTTCAGGAATAAAAGGAAAATAAAGGCATCCTCAACCAAAGGGAAATTATGAGAATTTTTGCTAGCTAACCTACCCTTAAATGTTTAGAGGTAGTTCTCTATACAGAGAGGAAATAATAGCAAGAGACTTAGAATTTAAGAGGAGAAAGATAAATGTCAGAATGTGTAAAATGTGGGATAAATTTAATATGCATCCTACTTCATGTGAGTTTCTTGAATCAATTTTTATGGTTGAAATGAAAATTGTAACACCAATTGGTACGGTCTTCAACATATGTAGAGGAAATGCTTAAGGCACTTTTATTTGAAATGTGGGTGTGCCACTAGTCTACTAAAGAAAATTATTATCTGATATACAGGAACTCTACATAGTTCCTTAAAGAAGTTACATCAGTGTGAACTGACAGGAAGAGAGA
Organism: Homo sapiens; assembly: GCF_000001405.40. Taxonomy (NCBI): domain Eukaryota; kingdom Metazoa; phylum Chordata; class Mammalia; order Primates; family Hominidae; genus Homo; species Homo sapiens. The sequence goes on from NC_000007.14 coordinate 114,034,368, forward strand.
GTACAAAATCAAAAAAGGTCTTTAGACTTCCTAATTTCCATGGGCAGGAGGTAGGATGAGAACAGAGACCATTGCTCTGTGTCAAACATAGGCCATTTATTTATTTATTTATTCATTCATACATTCATTCATTCATTTTAAAAGGCAACTTAGAGAACAAAACCAGAAGACCAGAGAACAAATTTAAATGTTTCGGAGAATCATTCCCAAAAAGCAACTATAGGCCCAAACCAAGGGATTGACAATATATGTTAGGCTGGATTTCAGAATCACTGTGGATCAGTGACTGACTGCTATGTGCCTTTTATTTTCCTCTTCTTTGAACAGAGATGTCTATTGCAACTTCCTGTCTCACCATTGTATGTTATATATGCTGGTGGAGAGGGTCATATAACTTGTGTCTTTAGTTTGCAGGTTTTCAGATTGAGAGAAAACCTACTTGAGGAGCTGTACCTGAAGAATCTCACCAGAAAACGTTGTCCCCATGTCTGCCTTGCTTGCACATGAGATGGGAAATGGGAATGGATAAAGGTTGTATATTTCAGCTTGGGTGACTGCACAATGCAGGCTAGGCCCCTCAGGGTTCAGGATGGAGCTGAGATAGTAAGAGAAGGGGTGAAGCCCAGGTATCAAGGGTTGGCCTTGCCCTCACTGCAATATCCCAATGCTAAACTATAAGGAGTCCATAAATTATTAAACTCAAACAGATTCGTAGTCATTATTATAATATACTTGCCATGGAGGAAACCAAGAACTTATTTTATTTAAAAGTTTGTTCACTTGATCTGTAACTGTCAATTTTTACTCTTATCCAGCCCTCACAAATGCTGGAGCTGGGCTTACGGATAGTGGAACAATGATTTATACTAGGACTGTAGCACCTATTTCCACACAGACTAATTTCATTAGAACTCTTGCTATATTTCAAAACTCTCTCTGTGTGTGTGCATGTGTGTGTGTGTATTTTATATATACATATAGTTACATATCCCATTATAGCATATTCCAATGGAATATGCTATAATGGGATATGTAATGAGTATACATGAGATATGCATATGCAATGAGTGTATACACACACAAACACACATATATAATGCTTATGGAGAAAACATCCTTAGAATAGTTCAGAATTCTGGCAAAGCACAGATAAATGTAAGGGTAAGACATTTACCTTCAATTCTGTTATTTGTTTTTAACAAATTTGATTTGTAACTTCTGTAGAATTAAAGAAAATTAATTCAAACCTTTTTACATACTTCTTGAATCTCAGATTTTTTAGTACAATATTTGGCACATAACTCAATAAATGTTTATGATAAAAGGCATCACATTTTTGAATGATAATTTTTTTACTCACTATAATACCATTTAGAATGCTAAGAAAGTTAACTAATCAACATAGGATATGTCAACTCCAAATTTTAAGTAAAATTTACAGTGTTTTAATAACTTTATTGTGATGTATTTCATATACTGTACAATTTGCCCCTTCAAATTGTATGATTTAATGACTCTTAATATATTCATAGTTATGCAACTATCACCACAATCAATTTTAAAACATTCTTATTATCCTAGAAAGAAAGCTCAGACCGCTTAGCAATCACTGCATAATCCTTCATACCTCCTTCCCTAGGAAACCACTAATCTACTTTTTGCCTCTATAGTTTCACCTATTCTGAATATTTTGTATAAATGGAATTATACAATATGTGTTTTTGTGAGTGGCTTCTTTTCATTTAGCATGTTTTCAAGGTTCATTCATATTGTAGTATGCATCACAACTTCATTTCTTTGTATTGCTGAGTACAATTCCATTGCATGTATATAACAATTGTATTTATCTATTTGTCAGTTTATGGACATTTGGGTTGTTCACACATTTTGGCTATTGAAACACTCCTATGAACATTTTGTGTGGGGACAAAAACCTGTTATTTTTATTTCTTTTTATTTCTCCTGAGCATATAACTAGGAATAGATTTGCTAAACCATATGGTAATTCTGTGTTTAATCATTTGAGGAACTGACAACTGTTTTTCAAAGTGTCTGGACCATTTTGGATTCCCATTAATGTTGTCGGGTTCCAGTTTCTCCATATCCTCACCAACACTTGCTATTTTTTACTTTTTGATTACAGCCATCCTCCCTGTGGTGTGAAGTGGTATCTCATTGTGGTTTAGATTTTTTTTTCTTTGTTTCTTGAGATGAGGGTCCCACTTTTTAACCAGACTGGTCTTGAACTCCTAAGCTCTAGTGATCCTCCATCCTCCAACCTCAGCTTTCAGAGTAGGTGGGACTATAGGCACACACCACAGCACCCAGCTAATTTTGCCTTTCCTTAAAGGCAAATAATGTTGAATATCTTTTCATGTGCTTATTGGTCATTTTGGCGAAATTTCTATTCATAGCTTTTGCCTGATTTTGACTTGAATTTTCTTTTTATTATTGAGTTGTAAGACTTTTTATATATACGTTCTAGGTACTAGTCTTTGGTAGGATAGATGATTTGCAAATATTTTTACATTCCATAGATTGTCTTTTCACTTTCTTGATTGTATTCTTTAATGCACATTATTTTTTTGTTTAGTTTTGATGATGTCCAGATTGTCTTTGTGTGGGTGTATGCTTTTGATGTCATATCTAAGAAACTTGCCAAATCCAAGATTTGCCAGTGATTTACACCTGTTTTCCTTTAAGAGTTTTGTAGTTTTAACTCATATTTCCACAGTCTTTGATCCATTTTTGGTTATTTTTTGTTTATGGCATGAGGTGGTGGGGAGTGCGACTTCATTATTTTCCATGTAGACTTCAGTTGTTCCAGCGTCATTTGTTGAAAAGACTATTCTTTCCTTCATTGACTTGTCTTGACACCCTTGTTGAAAATCAACTGATCATAAATTAAAGGGTTGATTTCTTTTTTTTTTTTTTTGTAGAACAGTGTTGTTTATTGGTAGAATGCTCAGTAAAGATTTTAATTTTTTTATTTTATTTTATTTTATTATACTTTAAGTTTTAGGGTACATGTGCACAGTGTGCAGGTTAGTTACATATGTATACGATTCCTCAGGGATCTAGAACTAGAAATACCATTTGACCCAGCCATCCCATTACTGGGTATATACCCAAAGGACTATAAATCATGCTGCTATAAAGACACATGCACATGTATGTTTATTGCGGCACTATTCACAATAGCAAATACTTGGAACCAACCCAAATGTCCAACAATGATAGACTGGATTTTTTTTTATTTTAAGACAGATTGTCTCTGTTACCCAGGCTGGAGCTGGAGGGCGGTGACACGATATTAGCTCACTGCAATCTCCATCTCTAGTGTTCAAACAATTCTCATGCCTCAGCCTCCTGAGTAGCTGGCACTACAAGCACGCGCCACTACACCCGGCTAACTTTTTGTATTTTTAGTAGAGATAGGGTTTCACCATGTTGGCCAGGCTGATCTCAAACTCCTGTGATCCACCCACCTTGGCCTCCCAAAGTGCCAGGATTACAGGTGTGAGCCACCGTACCTGGTCAAGGTTGATTTCTGGACTCTCAACTTAGTCCATTCATCTATATGTCTCTACTTATGCCAGTTCCACACTGTCTTGGCTACTGTAATTTGTAATAAGTTTTGGAATCAGAAGGCCTGAAACCTCTAAATTTATTTTTCTTTTTCAAGATGGTTTGACTACAATCTACTTTAAATGTTTAGCTTTGGAGTTAATTTAATGTTTTGTGCAGTTTTTTTATTATCTTAAATAGCTTTTTATTTACTTATGTCTGTTTTGCCAAATCAGTTTATGATATTAGCAAGAAATAGTAGTTGACCTTCAATTTAAGTCAGAAAAAAAATTAAATAGGAGGTTTTTCCTTAAGCATATAAAATTCTGAGATAAATTTTTAAAATTAAAAGTTTATCCTTTATTTACTTTACTAACCCAAACAATAAATCACCAAATCTACTTCATTTGCAAAATGTTAGTGGAAAATATGCTATTGTCAAATGATTCTTTCCAAAAACTCTTCTTCTTTCAATAATTTACAGCCATTCCTTTGGGATATTTTGATGCTACAAATTGTTTTACTGTATGACTAAACAATATTTAATAGGAGCTTTTATTTCTATGTGTAACAAAAGAATAGACTAGGCCAGTGCAGTGGCTCATGGCTATAATCCCAGTACTTTGGGAGGCCGGGAAGAGAGGGTCACTTAAGGCCAAGAGTTTGAGACCAGACTAGGCAACATAGCAAGATCCCATCTCTATAAAAATTTTTTATTTTAAAATATTTTTAGATGGAGTTTCACTCTAGTTGCCCAATTGGGAGTGCAATGGTGTGATCTTGGCTCACTGCAACCTCCGCCTCCCGGGTTCAAGCGTTTCTCCTGCCTCAGACTCCCGAGTAGCTGGGACTACAGGCATGTGCCACCACACACCTATACTCTTAGCTACTCAAGAGACTGAGGCAGGAGGACTGCTTGGGCCCAGGGGTTCAAGGCTGCAGTGAGCTATGATCATGCCACTGCACTCTAGCCTGAGCAATGGAGTGAGACTCCATCCCTAAAGAGAGAGAGAAAAATGCAACTGAGGACATTTAAATTAGATGTTTTCACTGAGTCAATGTGCTATTTTAACCCTGACACCCATTTTAAAATAACAAATACTAAAAAAAATTTTACGTGATAGTTTGAATACTCATAGACTATTATATACTAAATAGTCCCCTTACAAATTTTTGTAAATTTTTATTTTAGGTTCAGGGGCACATATGCAGGTTTGTTATACAGGTAAATTGCATGTCACAGAGGTTTGGTGTACGGATTATTCCATCACCCAGGTAATAAACATAGTACCTAATAGGTAGTTTTTCAGTCCTCTCCATCCTCCTATCCTCCACCCTTAAGTAGGCCCCCGTGTCTGTTGTTCCCTACTTTGTGTCCATGTGTACGCAACGTTTAGCTCCCACTTGTAAGTGAGAACACGCAGAATTTGGTTTTTTGTTCCTGTGTTAGTTAACTTAGGGTAATGGTCTCCAGCTCACTCCATGTTGCTGCAAAGGACATGATCTCATTCTTTATGATGGCTGCCTAGTATTCCATGGTGTATATGTACCACATTTCCTTTATCCAATCTGTCATTGATGGACATTTAAGTTGATTCCCTATCTTTGCTACTGTGAATAGTGCTGCAATGAATGTATGTATGTATGTGCCTTTATGGTAGAACGATTTATATTCCTTTGGGTATATACCAACTAATGAGGTTGCTGGGTCAAATGGTACTTCTGTTTTCAGTTCTTTGAGAAGTTGCCACACTGCTTTTCATAATGGCTGAACTAATTTATGTTCCCACCAGCAGTGTACAAGCATTCCTTTGACTCTGAACCTTGCCAGCAACTGTTATTTTTTGACTTTATTAATAGCCACTCTGACTGCCATGAGATGGTATCTCATTGTGGCTTTGATTTGCATTTCTCTAAATTTCTCTAATGATTAGTGATATTGAGCATTTCTCATATGCTTGTTCGCCATGTGTATGTCTTCTTTTGAAAAGTGTCCGTTTGTGTCCTTTGCCCACTTTTTAATGGGGTTGTTTTTTGCTTGTTGATTTGCTTAAGTTCCTTATAGATGCTAGATATTAGTCCTTTGTCAGATGCACAATTTGCAAATATCTTCTCCCATTCTGTAGGTTGTTTGTTTACTCTGTTGATAGTTTCTTTTGCTGTGTAGCAACTCTTTAGTTTAATCAGGTCCCATTTGTCGTATGTGTTTTTGTTATACTTGCTTTGGCATCTTTTTTTTTTTTTTTTTTTTTTTGAGACCTACTCTTGCTCTGTCACCCAGGCTGGAGTGCAGTGGCGCGATCTCCACTCACTGCAAGTGCCGCCTCCTGGGTTCACACCATTCTCCTGCCTCAGCCTCCCGAGTAGCTGGGATTACAGGTGCCCGCCACCATGCCCGGCTAATTTTTTGTATCTTTTAGTACGGGGTTTCACCGTATTAGCCAGGATGGTCTCGATCTCCTGACCTCGTGATCCACCCACCTCGGCCTCCCAAAGTGCCAGGATTACAGGCGTGAGCCACCAGGCCTGGCTGCTTTGGCATCTTTGTCATCAAATATTTGTCAGGGCCTATGTGCAGAATGGTATTGTTTAGGTTATCTTCCAGGGTTTTTATAGTTTTCAGTTTTACATTTAAGTATTTAATCCATCTTGTGTTAATTTTTGTATATGGTGTACGAAGGGGGTCCAGTCTCAATCTTCTGCATATGGATAGTGAGTTATCTCTGCACCATTTATTGTATAGGGAGTCCTTGCCCCATTGCTTGTTTCTGTCTCCTTTATCAAAGATCAGATGGTTGTAGGTTTGTGGTCTTATTTTGGGGCTCTTTATTCTGTTCCATTGCTCTATGTGTCTGTTTTTGTACTAGTACCATGTTGTTTTGGTAAGTGTAGCTTTTTGGTATTGTTTGAAGTCAGGTAACATGATGCCTCCATCTTTGTTCTTTTTGCTTAGGATTGTCTTAGCTATTTGAGCTCTTTTTTTGGTTCCATATGAATTTTAAAATAGCTTTTTCTAATTCTGTGAAGAATATCATTGGTGGTTTGATAGGAATGCAATTGAATCTGTAAATTGCTTTGGGCAGTATGGCCATTTTAACAATATTGATTCTTCCTATCCATGAGCATGAAATGTTTTTACATTTGTTTGTGTCATCACTGATTTCTTTGAGCAATGTTTTGTAATTCTTGTTGTAGACAGCTTTCACCTCTCTGGTTACTTGCATTCCTAGGTTTTTTATTCTTTTTGTGGACATTGTAAATGGGATTGCATTCTTGATTTGGCTCTCCGCTTTGACATTGTTGGTGTATAGAAATGCTACTGATTTTTGTACATTGATTTTATATCCTGAAATTTTGCTGAAGTTGTTGATCAGATCTAGGAGTTTTTGGGCAGAGATTATGGGGTTTTCTAGGTATGGAATCACATCTGTGAACAGAGATAGTATAACTTCCTCTCTTCCTTTTTGGATGCCTTTTATTTCTTTCTCTTGCCTGATTGCTCTGGCTAAGACTTCCAGTACTATGTTGAATAGGAGTGGTGAAATAATTTTCCTAACAATTATCTCATTAAATTATTAACTACTACTATACAACTGTTTAAATTGTAATGTCCATTTTATAAATGACACATAGCCAGAACTGTGCTTACTTGTAGTATACCAGGGGCATGGGAATGTCCATTGTATCTGTCAACCACAGTTGTCAGTAGGAGGAGAATTTCTTCAGCGGTGGGCAAGGGCTACTGTTCTGGTTGCAGAGGGAATTCCTCTGTATCTGGATGGAGAATGGTCTCTTTACCTGAAGAGCAGCCTCATGTACTCTAACCAAAAGAAAGGCCTGATGAATGGAATCAAAGGTAGATTTATTCATATCTTTTTATTAATTTTTTTAACATAGATACATTTTTACCATAAGAAAACAAATTTCAAATTATAAATAATTACTTTTTTTCAAGATTTGTAAGTAGGGAATTGCATAAAAATGGTCATCATCATCTCCGCCTCAAATCATTTCTCAAGGTGCTTTTAAATACAATATTTATCAATTACTTATTGAATATGTTCCTTCTGCCAGAGACTATACCAAGCGCTAGTTATAAAATGATGAACCAAACAGACTAGGGTTCTTTCATAATGTGGTTTGCGTTCAAATAACAAGTGAAAATAATAAACAAACACATTCTTGGTGAATTAATTAATTCACTAATTAATAACAAAAATATTTCAGATAATGATAAGGTGCTATAAAGCATTGCACAGTGACCAAGAAAGATGAGGTGGTATAAAAAATGGAAAACAATACAATTCAACATCTCAAAAATTATTTTATATTATCACTTCTAGAGAACTGCTCACTGCCCCCAATTATAGGCACCAAAATTCTATGAAGACATTTATAAAGTAAAACAACTCATATCAAAGAAATGGGACAGTAAGGGATTGGAAGGACATAGTACAAGGAATGAGTGAAAGAAATGGTGATATTTAGACTGCAAAAGGAAATAGTAAAAAGAGAAGCATGAAAATTAGATTTAGATATTTGGAAAGTTGTCATGAAATGGAAGGAACAGAACAATTGTATGTTTCACACAGAAAGAACCAAACTAGGAAGAATAGGAAAAAAAGAGAAAATTAGATTTATTGGATCTTCACTAAGTGCCAAGCACTGTATGCTGTGTTGTAAATATTTAATTTTATGTCTTCATTATTCTTTTGATAATTTTCTTTTTATATTGTAAGTTGACAAATTATAATCGTATATATTGTTAGGATATAAAGTAATATTGTGATATATGTATACAAGATAAGAGGAATAGGTTTAATTTTTGAAGATCAACAGCAGAGCATGCTAATAATTGAGTACTAATAATATAGCTCATAACTGAGGACTATACATTTCAATATTGCTAAAGGAGTAAATTTCTAAAGTAATTTCTTATCACAAAATATGTTAAATATTTGAGGTGACAGATATGTTAATAAGTTTAATTTAATAATTCCACATTTTATCTAAAAATCATATTACTACTTTGTACCTTATAATTTGTCAATATGCAATAAAAATAAATATATAAAAACTAAATTGAGCTAATTAACATATCATTTGAAATAATTATAATTTTTTATATTTTCATATTTATATATAAATATATAATTTTATATATTTATATATAAATATATAATTATATATATAAATATATAATTATATATATAAATATATAATTTTATATATTTATATATATAATTATATATTTATATATAAATGTATAATCTTATATATATTTATATATAAATGTATAATCTTATATATATTTATATATAAATGTATAATCTTATATATATTTATATATAAATGTATAATTTTATATATATTTATACATAAATGTATAATTTTATATATATTTATTTATATATAAATGTATAATTTTATATATATTTATATATAAATGTATAATTTTATATATATTTATATATAAATGTATAATTTTATATATATTTATATATAAATGTATAATTTTATATATATTTATATATAAATGTATAACTTTATATATATTTATATATTTATATATAAATGTATAACTTTATATATATTTATATATTTATATATAAGTGTATAACTTTATATATATTTATATATTTATATATAAGTGTATAACTTTATATATATTTATATATAAATGTATAATTTTTTATATATTTATATATAAATGTATAATTTTTTATATATATATAAATATATAATTTTATATATATATAAATATATCATTTTATATATACATAAATATATAATTTTATATATATATAAATATATAATTTTATATATATTTATAAATATATAATTATATATAAATATATAATTTTATATATATTTATAAATATATAATTATATATAAATATATAATTTTATATATATTTATAAATATATAATTATATATAAATATATAATTTTATATATATTTATAAATATATAATTTTATATATATTTATATATTATATAAAATGTATATAAAATAAAAAATTTATATATTTTATTATATATATAATTATATATATTTATATATAAATATATATAATTATATATTCAAATATATATTTGAAATAATTATAATTTTTTGCAGTGAGAACATTTGAAAATTTACTCTCTTAGCAATCTTGAAATGTGCCACCTATACGTTATTAACTATAGTCACCATGTTGTGCAATTAATCTCAAAAAATTTATTCCTCCTGTGTAACTGAAACTTTGTACACTTTGGCCAACATCTCCCCACTTCCCTCACCGCTAGCCTCTGGTAACTATCATTCTGCTCTCTGTTTCAATGTGTTTGTTTTAGATTCCACATGTAAGTGAGATCATAAATATTTCTCCTGTTGTGGCTTATTTTACACAGCATAATGTCTTCCAGGTTCATTAATAAATGACAGAATTTTCTTCTTTTTAAAAATAAAATAGTATTCCATTTCATATTTTCATTATCCATTCATTCACTGATGGATAATTTCTTTTATTCCTCTTCATTTACTAGGGAATAGAGGTCAACAAAGTTAAGAACCATGCCTAGATTCACACAGACAGTGAATACTGATGCTGGGTTTTGGCCCTGAAACTTCTCCAGAAATAATGTTCTTTCTTCTGCATGTTTCTACTTCTTGATTTTGGCTTCATGTAAGATATAGTTTTCCAACTTCTAGATGTGCCTCACTTTGTAAAGTTGTGGTCTTACCATCACAGGAACTGTTAGTGAAGAGGTGCCTTGTTCAGAAAGTAACTTCTAAGGCCCCCAACAACTCTAAAAGACTCCATTTTCCACTAAGTAAGTTAAAAAGCCACGGTCTACAGCACCCTATCCAACTGGTAGGAACTCGCTGCATCAGTGCAGTTGACTTCACAGGATTAGCAAATCATCACGTATTAGAGATCTTGGCCCTATGGGATTTGGAAGCCTGTCCCATAAGTGGAAAACCCTGAAATAGAATGAAATTACTGTATGAGACACCAAAGGGAGGTAGGCTAGCCTCAAAAAAAAAAAAAAAAAAAAGGTACCTAGTTCATAGTTTTGACTGGGACCAAATTACAAAACATTTTCCCCGTTTCAATGTGGTTTTTATTGTTCAAAGTTGTAATTATCTAGTGAAATCAAGTCTAAATATTTGATGCCCAGCATGAATGAAAAATATATTTTGTAATAACAGACTCATTAAATAACCAAAATAAATGACTCATTTTATAATAATCTTCTCAAATTGGACACAAACAGGATATTTCATATTTCACATTGCTTTTGTCTATCAGGGATGACTGAAAAACGATGTATCCTCAGTAAGTGGTTCTTTTCAGTGGACACATCTTAACATATTCCCTTTAAATGTTAGTTTCAAGTCTGTTGTGAGTCTTTAAGCTAAAATTAATTTTTCAGTCATTTTAAAAACCTAGCTGTCAAATCTAATACTAAATTTTCAGTGGTTAAGAATTTTATAGTATGATTTTGTGCTGTTTAGAACAGTACGTCTTTTTTATGGTTTTAAAATTATATGCCATTAATATTATCCAGTGACTATTTTCAACATATTATTGGACTGATGCAAAGAAGAAAGTAATCAAATTAATCACGTATTTTATAATCTTAATTTTATACTTAGCTTTTCCTATGCAAAGTTAAATAATCCTACTTGCTACAGTTTCTCATCATAACACAAGTAAGTCCTACGCACCTTTAACCATACTTTTCCCTTCATTGGCCTTCTTAATTAGATGTTTTAAGTAAAATGGACAAAACTGAGGTTGAACTTCACTTAGCTAAGAAGACTGGTCTAAATCATGCCCCGAAATAACATGGTTTGCTAATTTCATAAAATTAATAGTGCTAGTTAGAAAAAGTTGAGTGATGTAAAAGAGAGAAAATAAAGGTAGTTTGCCTTTAGTTCCACTTAGGTTTGGGAATATGGTATTAAAAAGGCCAAATAGAATCCAAATGCATATTAATTTAACAGTTAATGAGCAGAGGACAGAATAGGGGAAAAAATCTTCAGAAAGACTATCAATGCATTCTGGTACTTTCTACCATTCTCCAAACTTTAATTTGTGAGGACGCTTTTCATCACACTTTTAAATTAGCCTAGATTCTATAAATTTTTCTTTTTCATTAATTTTGCCTGCAAGGTATACAGTGGCCAAATATTTCATGTAACAATTTTATATTATCAATTCACATATAATAAAAGGAAAATAATGTTTTAAATCCACCACACAGACACACATCCCTCATGATTTAGCAAAAAAGTTTGTAAATACTGTTAGCAATAGATCAGTCTAAAATCGTTAAAGTGTGGCAAAATAGTGCTTTCATTATTAACAATTATATTAAAATGCAAACAGAACATATATGAAAAATACAGGCATGTTACTATCCTCAAACACATAGGTAGATGCAGCATCAATATAAGTAGCATAAAGCTAGAAACAACATTACCATCCATTCAATCAATAAATATATATTGATTGTTTACTAAGTACTCTCCTAGGTCATGAGAGCACATATTAATGAAAAAAAACAGTTCCTGTAACTGAAAAGCTTGCCTTCCAACAGAGATGCAGACATGAACAGATGATTTCTAAAACCGTGTGCTATAACAGAGGCTCCCAAAATGTGGTCTGCAGACCAGTGGCATCAGCATCTCTTGGGAACTTAGACATGCAGATTCCATTTGTTTCACAGACCCACTGAATCAGAATATCTCCAGGTGATTTGGATAAAGTTTTAGAACCACTATACTACAAATTGAGGTATCCATAGTGAATAAAATCTATGACTAGAGATACTGTTGCTTAGGGAATCTTTAATGGTGTTACAAAGGAAGTGTCAAGTATCTCAGCAAATGATGTTCCTTTTTTAGTTCCTTTTCTGGCAGGATGAGACTGCCTGACAATGAAGTGTTAAAAGATCTTTTGGACGGGCGCGATGGCTCACGCCTGTAATCCCAGCACTTAGGGAGGCCGAGGTAGGCAGATCACCTGAGGTTGGGAGTTCGAGACTAGCCTGACAAACATGGAGAAACCCCGTCTCTACTAAAAATACAAATTTAGCTGGGTGTGATGGCACATGCCTGTAATCACAGCTACTCAGGAGGCCTTAGGAGAATCTCTTGAACCCGGGAGGCGGAGGTTGTGGTGAGCTGAGATGCCGCCTTTGCATTCCAGCCTGGGTAACAAGAGCAAAACTCCATCTCAAAAAACAAAACAAAACAAAACAACTTTCATCTTCCCAGGACACAGAAGAAGTAACCATGTATGGTAACTAAGAACCCTGAATGATCAGTAAATAGAGATGTGACAATGGAGGGAGGCAGCACATGCAGGCAATCGCTTTGCAGAGTATATCACACAACAAGGTGAGGCACACAGAAGATGACCCTGTAATCCTGGCTAAATGTTCCACCTTTTCAAGAAGGAACTGGAGACCAACACCACTATCCAGCTTATTCTTGTGTAGTCAAAAAATTGGCCTTGTTCAGTGAGTGGTCTGGTATTTGTCCTTGGCTTCTGGAAGATAATCTATATCATATTTGATAGAATGTCTTTGTTTAAAAGAGGAATTGGCCCCAGTGGATCTTAGGGTGAGACCAGCCATACCAAATAGTCTTAGGGTAGGGACTAGCAATGGGGTCTCTAGGTCACACAATGTCAGTCAACCTGGAGGCTGAGGTCAACTATATGTGTTGATCAATCATGCCTATGTAATGAAGCCCAATACAAACTCTAAATACTAAAGTTCATGTGCACGTCCCTGTTTAGAAATACTCCATTCATACTGTCACACATCAATGCCAGGAAACTCCATGGGGAGAGAACTATGACACTTCATATTTGGAACCTTCATGGACTTTGCCCTGTGTTTCTCTTCATTTTGCTCACTTTAATCTATATCCTTATTCTGTAATAGACCACAAACAAGAGTATATTCAATTTCAGTGAGTTTTGTGTGTTATACTAGCAAATTGTCAACACTCTAGGTAGTTTGGGGAACCTCTGCAAAACTGCAATTGGTATCAGAATTGAGGGCAATATTGGAGACAGCGACTTCTAACTCTACAGTGTGCCCTAGCTTCTTGCAGTTGGTTTCTGTGAAGTGGGATTTACTGGAACAACCCTGACTCATTGAATCATGTGGTTTGGTAAGAAGGATGAGAGGGTGCAGAGAATGAATCTTTGATTTTGCAATGGCCCAGAGTCATACGGTATAAAACTACAGCTGTGCAATGATCTGGAGGTATTTTAAAGGTTACAAATAGAATTTAGAACTCCCAGGAAGTTGGTTCACTAGATGCATAAGGAAATGCAAATTAACAAGAAATTAGTGAAATATACAATGCCTTGGTCATTGTTGTCTGTAATAGCTAAAATGAAAATAAGGAAAAATGGAGCAGATCTTAATGCTGGAACAAGTGTGGATTCCAGTTAGCTCAAGCTATAGCCACTGGCCTCAGGGACCCAACCTATAGGTAAAATGAAAGTGAAAGTAAAAGGAACTCTGGCGGTGGACCCTGATGCTGGGACCAGCGTGGAATCAAGCCATTCCCAGCAACAGCCACGAGACTTAGAGCTGCTTTCAAGGGGGGAAAAATGTGCAGAAACAGCAGATAGTGAAGGTTAGGCTGACTCACAAGAATAGAGAATGACAAAGTGGAGAGTCCAGGAACTCATCCCAGCATTGTGGAAATCTCTAAATGTTACAGTAACAGTCAGGCATGAGCAGGGCAGAAGAGGGCCCTCCCCCACCCACCCACCACAAATGTCAGGCGACCATCAGGTGATGGTTCAGCAGTTGTCACATTGCCTCTCTAAAAATGATAACTAGTAGTTGGGGCCCAGGGAGTGATAATTTCCTCATGGCCCACAGTTGTCACACTAAAATGATAATTGGTCACAGGGACCAGGAAGAGGCAATTTCCCAATACATAAAAACACTTAAAATTGGCAGTCAGCAGTTTCCAATAAAATATCAGGAATTGTGCGAGTGAGCTGGAGCATGTGTATTAAGAGACAAAGTGGTGGAGTGTGACCTTCTGTGGGCAGTCCGCCAGAAAAGGGAAGAAAGCCTCAGGTGAGCATGCCAACAGCTTCCTAAACACACTGAGCATGCTCACTTCCCTTGCACAAGGAGGGCGCCACGAATGCACGCAGTTCACCCAAAGGAAAGAATGAAGGGAAAGGGGCGCAAGATGCCAGAAGTAGACCGCATATAAAGTCCTAGGACCAAGGTTAAACAGGGCACTTGACCTCCAAAGTGCCCGCTTGGATCTCTTCCAAGTATACCTTCCTTTCTTTCCTGCTCTAAAGTTTTTAAATAAATTTCCACTCCTGCTCTGAAACTTGCCTCAGTCTCTTTTTCTGCCTTATGCCATTCAGCCAAATTCTTTCTTCTGAGGAAGCAAGAGTTGAGTTTGCTGCAGATCCATACAGATTCACCACTGGTAACTTGGGTATTCCCTGCTCCTAACATATTTGGTGCCATGACTCAGATTGTTCCCTGGTGTTAAGAGGTCTCTATGCCTCACCTTCTTTGGCTGGAGGTGTCCAACTCCCATATGCAGTTTTCATCTCCCCTTTCTGTCTCTCCTGCTTACCAACCAACCTCCAGAACAATTCTTTTTGGCCATAAGTGACTCTGCTATCCTCTCCCTGCCAAGCCTCCATCACTGATTTCTCAGCTCACACTGATGGATGGCTCACAGGAGTGGGAAGGACATTAGGGTCCACACTGAGTAGATCTGAGGCACTGATGGCCCTCCTGGACAGGAAGCTCACAAGAGTGGTGAGGCTAAGGCCTAAAACCATGCAATGTCTGGGGCTTCCTATGCTTTTTTCAACTAAAATAGGCTCTTTTCCAAAAACCTAAGTCACCAGCTCTCCTGTTTTCTCTGTGTGTGTTCTGAAATTGTCTTGCGCACCTGCTGGACAGTGTACCTCAGAGGCAAGTCTGCCTAACCTAAATATATCCCCTCTAGGATATAAACATTCAAATGTTGATGGAATTAAGGTGAAAGGTTACGTGGAAATTGGAATATCTAAACAGGCTTTATGTGAAGTTTTTGTATCTCCTTTACCTGAATCTATTATGGTAATGGATAATGTATTTTAATGAAGAATGTTTCTAATATCTAGTATTATAAAACAGAAGGCATGTAAACCCACCTTTCTGCCAATATTGATTGGACATGCTAAATAAGAATCAATGAAGTTACCTAAACCCACACATTTGTTAATTTAAAACAGTTTAGAGTATCTAGATTACCAAAAAAAAAAAAAAAAGATTATGGACAAATGGTCTGTTACAATAGCTATGTGTGGAGCATGGCCTGGGACTTGGCAAAAGCCTGTAAGCACTATCCAGAGACAACCACTGGGATTTGGAACCACAAAATACCCATTTGAGAGACAATTACTAGCATGCTATTGGATATTAATTGAAAATGCCCCTATGACTGAAGGACATAAAATAATCCTGAAATCTGAACCACCCATAATGTCTTAAGTAATCTTAAATAAACGCTCTAATGGGAAGGGCATTGTCCAGAAAAATGCCATAATAAATTGGCAAAGAACTGTTTGTTTTATAAGAGGCAGTTCCAAGGTGAATGTATAGCATTTTGTTTGTAAGGCTACCAATCTGATCAAAGAAGGTGTGATGGGTAATTTTATCGTCAACATGGTAGGCTGTGGTGCCTAGTTGTTTGGCAGAACACTAGCCTACACGTTGCTGTGAGGGTATTTTATAGATGTGATTAATACCCATGATCAATTGACCTTAAGTGGTTTACCCACCACAACATGGGTGGGCCTTGTCCAATCAGCTGAAGGTCTTCATGACAAAAACCTGAGGTTTTCTGGATAAGAAGAAATTCTGTGTTAAGACTACAACATAAACTCTTGCCTGAGTTTCCATTCTGCTGGCCTTTTCTGTGGATTTCATACTTGCCAGGCTTCACAATAACACCGTATCACTTGAAATTTCCTTCTTACCTGATGCAGTAGTCCCAGGACTAGGGCTGCAACTGTGGGTACAGGAAGCAGAGATGATCCTTAAGTAAGGAAACTGGAACGGTACTTGTTAACACTTATGTCAGAATTACTAGGGCTTAATGGGGTGAACTGTGTATTCATCTCAATTGGCAAAACTGTGGTTGATAATAAATGTGCTTATATTACCTAGTGGTTGAGGTAACTCATCAGTTCTGTACCTATGTAACCCTACTCTAAATTACTAGAAACAAACTGAGTGGGAGGAATTTGCTAGACTAGTATTGCTGACGGCAATCTGGACCAGCACCTTGGCAGAGCCTAATATCCCTTCCAAAAGTAGAAAAGTTTAGCTATATATGTAGAGAAGGAAGAATTGTAGCTAAGGGCAAGGAAATTAATAAATGGGTCATACAATGACAAAAATCCAGTATTGCATTAATATCTTGAAAGAGGCCCAGAGCAAGAGATGATATTTTGAGAAATGAATTTTTTTATTTAAGCTGCTCAGCCCATGGTATTTCTGTTATGGTAACCCAAATGGACTAAGACAGAAATTGGTTCCAAGAAGGTGGGTGGGGGCGGGGGGGGGGGGGTGGTGCAGGGTACTATGACAAATACCTAAAAATGTAAAAGCAGATTTGAAGTTAGGTAATGCATAGAGGCTAAAAGAGTTTTGAGGTGCATGCAAGAAAAAAACCTAACTGCCATGAATGAAATTTTGAAAGCCAATTTGATGAGACCTCAGATGGCAATGAAGAACACATTATTGGAAACTGGAGCAAAGGCAATCCCTGTTCTGAAGTAATAAACAACTTGCCTGAATTGTGTTCATGTTCTACTGTTTTATAGACTGTGTCAAAGAATTGTGTTTGCATTCTAGTGTTTGTGCAGTGTAGGCAGAACTTGCAAGCAACAAAATTGGATATCTAGCTGAAGAGATTCTAAGCAAACTGTTGAAGGTATGGCTTGGCTTCTTCAGACTGCTTATAGTAAAATTTGAGAAGTGAAAATGACTTAAGGATATAACTGTTAAGCAAAGAGGAAGCAGAACTTATAATTGTGGAAAATTCTCAGCCTATTCACATTGAAAAAACATGAGAAAGAATGTTTTGAAGAGAACATTAAGGGTGTGCTCAACTGACTGTTTGATAATATGATAAGTATAGATGCAAACTATGGACTGAATCAACCATCTCAACAAAAGCCAGCAACAGTGATATGAGACTATACCAGAGGAAACACTGCCAAGCTGGGTCTAGAGAAAATAGGGAAGTGGGACAAACTTAAGAATACTGTCAGACTTCTCAGACCCTACAGGACGAGGTCATTGAACTAGGCAGCTGCTGCTATGGTTTGAATGTGTCCCTTACGAAATTCATCTACTGAAACTTAATGGCCAATGTGACAATATTAACAGGCGGTGCCTTTAAGAGGTGATTAGATCATAAGGGCTCTTCTTTCATTGATGGAATTAAAGCCTTTATAATAGAAGCTTAACAATGTGTTCAGCCTTCTTTTCCCCTTTTGTCTTTTCCACCATGTGAGGACACAGTGTTCCTCCCCTCCAGAGGATGCAGCATCAAGATGCCATCTTGGAAGGAGAGACTGGGACCCTCACCAGACACCAAACCTGCCAGTGCCTTGATCTTGGACTTTCCATCCACCAGAACTGGGAGAAATAATTTTTCGGCCTTTATAAATTACCCAGTTTCTGGTATTTTGTTAAAGCAGCACACACCAAGACTGCCACAGAGATGCACTATTCTCAAGCCAAGAGAGGAAAGACCTCCGAGATGATTTGGAAATTATCAGGGCTGCCACTCCCACCACAGGCTCAGAGTGCACAGGCCCAGGAAGCAAGGCTGCCTCCACCTCAATTTCAAAGACAGAATCAATGCTCACTGGAGCCTGGTGGTTTGACATCCCCACTCATCCCAACAGAGAACTGTGGCAGGAGCAGGGCCACTGCAGAAAGCCACGATGTGGGCAGTGACCCCAGTGAACTGTGGGAGTGATGCTGCTAGCCCTGAGTGTCTACAAGGCAGGACCTCTGCTGCTGTGGTCCTGGAGCACAAAGCGTGAGGTCAAAGAGGATTCTCCTTGAGACTTAAGATCGCATGCAGTTTATCTTGCTAGGTTTTGGATTTGCTTGGGACTTATCGTCTCTTCCTTCTTTCCCATTTCTCCCTTTTGGAATGGGAATGTCTATCCTATGCTTGCCCCATCATTGTATTTTGGAAGAAAGTATCTTGTTTGGTTTTACAGATTCACACCTAGAGTAGAATTTTACTTCAGGATGAACCATACCTTGAGTATAACTCGTATCTGATTTAGATGATTTTCAGATGACTCTTTGGACTTGAGACTTTAGAAGTGATGCTGTAATGAGTTGACTTTGAGGCTAGTTGGGATAGAATGGATGTATATTTCATGTGAGAAGAACATGAATTTGGGGAAGTCAGGAGTAGAATGCAATGGACTGAATGTTTGTGTTCTCCCAAAATTTATTTATTGAAAACCTAACCCCAGTGAAGTGGTATTAGGAGTTGGGGCCTTTTGGAGGTGACGAGATCATGAGGGTGGAGCCCTCATGAATGGGGTTAGTGCCCTTATAAAAGGGACCCAGATAGCTCTCTCCCCCTCTTTCCATCAAGTGTGGACACAGTGAATAGACAGCTGTCAATGAACAAAGGAAGTGGGTTCACCAAACACTGAATCTATCAGTGTCTTGATCTTGAATTTCCTAGCCTTCAGAACTGTCAGTTATAAATGTTCTTTGTTTAAGCCACCAATCTATGGTATTTCATCAAAGCAGCTCAAACAAACAAAGACACTAACCATCAGCTAATTTCTATGCCTAAATATTTCTGTACATGTTTATCATAAGATACAAATAACAGTAAAGCAAGGGAAAAAACTATGGAAAATTATGCAGTTTTTTGTAGGCTTTGTAAAATGGGTTAGTTTTTTCTTTAAGTCTATCCCTACCTCGATAATGGATCCTCGATTGTGAGTCATATTTATACTGATACTATTGCTTTATCTGTAATAAATGCTATATTAAATATAAATTCTCAAACATGATTATTTTGTTATAAAATATCTTGGCCAAAGGCCATGGGATTACTTATGTTGTAAAGAATTTAGATTTGCCCAAAGAGAAGTCTGGCCTTTGCTTCTGGTTTCTGGGAAGTAAACTGTATCAATCCCAATAGGACTATCCTTGTCTGAGTGGGGACTGGCCTTACTGGATCTTAGAGCAGGACCAGCCACACCCAGTGGTCCTAGGGTGAGAGCTAGCTATGCCAGAAAGACCAGCAATATAACTTAGGGTGGGGCCCTTGGATCATATAGTTATCAGTCAACGTGGAGGCTGAGATCAATCATGTGGGAAATCAATTAATCAATCCTGCCTACCTAGTGAAGTTGCAGTGAATGCCAAACCTTGAGTGAGCTTCTTTGGTTGGCAATACTCCATGCATATTATCACACATCAAGGCTGGGATAGTAACACATCCTGATTTCACAGAGAAAAGGCAATGGAAGCTTCATGTTTGCAGCTCCACTGGATGCTGCCCTTTGCACCTCTTCTTTTGGTTAATTTTAATCTGTTTTCCTTTCGTGTAATAAACTCTGTGAGTATAACAGTTTTCATTGGTTGGGCATGGTGGCTCACACCTCTAATCCCAATGCTTTGGAAGGCTGAAGATTGCTTGAGCCCAGGAGCTTAATGCTGCAGTGAACTATGATGACACCACTGAACCCCAGCCTGGGTGAAAGAATAATACCCCATCATTATAAAAAAATAATTTTCAGTCAGTTCTGTGAATCCTTCTAGTGGAATATCAAACCTGAGGGTGGTTTTGGGAATACCCTCAGCTTGCAATTGCTGTCAGAAATGAAGGTAATCTTGGGGACTGTGCCTTCTAAGTATATAGTTGGCCTTAACTCTTTAGAATCTTTATAGGTTTTTCTTGGAGGGGGTGGTTCCAATATGGCCGAATAGGAACAGCTCCAGTCTACACCTCCCAGCGTGAGCAACGCAGAAGACAGATGATTTCTGCATTTCCAACTGAGGTACCGGGTTCATCTCACTGGGGAGTGTCAGACAGTGGGTGCAGGACAGTGATGCAGTGCACCAAGCTTGAGCCAAAGCAGGGTGAGGCATCGCCTCACCCGGGAAGCACAAGGGGTCAGGGAATTCCCTTTTCTAGCCAAGGAAAGGGGTGACAGATGGCACCTGGAAAATCGGGTCATTCCCACCCTAATACTGCGCTTTTCCGACGGTCTTAGCAAATGGCACATCAGGAGATTATGTCCCGCACCTGTCGGAGGGTCCTATGCCCACGGAGCCTAGCTCATTGCTAGCACAGCAGTCTGAGATCAAACTGCAAGGAGGCAGTGAGGCTGGGGGAGGGGTATCCGCCATTGCTGAGGCTTGAGTAGGTAAAGAAAGCAGACTGGAAGCTCGAACTGGGTGGAGCCCACTGCAGCTCAAGGAGGCCTACCTGCCTCTGTAGACTCCACCTCTGGGGGCAGGGCATAGCTGAACAAAAGGCAGCAGAAACCTCTGCAGACTTAAATGTCCCTGTCTGACAGATTGGAAGACAGTAGTGGTTCTCCCAGCATGCAGCTTGAGATGTGAGAACGGACAGACTACCTCCTCAAGTGGGTCCCTGACCCCCAAGTAGCCTAACTGGGAGGCACCCCCCAGTAGGGGCAGACTGACACCTTACACCGCCCGGTACCACTCTGAGACAAAACTTCCAGAGGAACGATAAGGCAGCAACATTTGCTGTTCACCAATATTCGCAGTTCTGCAGCCTCTGCTGCTGATACCCAGGCAAACAGGGTCTAGAGTGGACCTCCGCCAAACTCCAACAGACCTGCAGCTGAGGGTCCTGACTGTTAGAAAGAAAACTAACAAACAGAAAGGACATCCACACCAAAACCCCATCTGTCCGTCACCATCATCAAAGACCAAAGGTAGATAAAACCACAAAGATGGGGAAAAAACAGAGCAGAAAAACTGAAAATTCTAAAAATCAGAGCACCTCTCCTCCTCCAAAGGAATGCAGCTCCTCACCAGCAATGGAACAAAGCTGGATGGAGAATGACTTTGATGAGTTGAGAGAAGAAGGCTTCAGATGATCAAACTTCTCTGAGCTACAGGAGGAAGTTCGAATCCATGGCAAAGAAGTTAAAAACCTTGAAAAAAGATTAGATGAATGGCTAACTAGAATAACCAATGCAAAGAAGTCCTTAAAGGACCTGATGGAGCTGAAAACCACAGCACAAGAACTACATGATGAAAGCACAAGCCTCAGTAGCCGATT
This sequence comes from Homo sapiens, assembly GCF_000001405.40. Taxonomy (NCBI): domain Eukaryota; kingdom Metazoa; phylum Chordata; class Mammalia; order Primates; family Hominidae; genus Homo; species Homo sapiens. Next base: position 114,056,293 of record NC_000007.14, read on the forward strand.
CGATCAACTGGAAGAAAGGGTATCAGTGATGGAAGATCAAATCAATTAAATGAAAAGAGAAGAGAAGTTTAGAGAAAAAAGAATAAAAAGAAACAAACAAAGCCTCCAAGAAATACGGGACTATGTGAAAATACCAAATCTACATCTGATTGGTGTACCTGAAAGTGACAGGGAGAATGGAAACAAGTTGGAAAACACTCTGAAGGATATTATCCAGGAGAACTTCCCCAATCTAGCAAGGCAGGCCAACCTTCAGATTCAGGAAATACAGAGAACGCCACAAAGATACTCCTCAAGAAGAGCAACTCCAAGACACATAACTGTCAGATTCACCAAAGTTGAAACGAAGGAAAAAATGTTAAGGGCAGCCAGACAGAAAGGTCGGGTTACCCACAAAGGGAAGCCCATCAGATTAACAGCTGACCTCTCGGCAGAAACTCTACAAGCCAGAAGAGAGTGGGGGCCAATATTCAACATTCTTAAACAAAAGAATTTTCAACCCAGAATTTCATATACAGCCAAACTAAGCTTCATAAGTGAAGGAGAAATAAAATCCTTTACAGACATGCAAATGCTGAGAGATTTTGTCACCACCAGGCCTGCCTTACAAGAGCTCCTGAATGAAGCACTAAACATGAAAAGGAACAACTGGTACCAGCCACTGTAAAAACATGCCAAATTGTAAAGACCATCGAGGCTAGGAAGAAACTGCATTAAGTAACGAGCAAAATAACCAGCTAACATCATAATGACAGCATCAAATTCACACATAACAATATTAACCTTAAATGTAAATGGGCTAAATGCTCCAATTAAAAGACACAGACTGGCAAATTGGATAAAGAGTCAAGACCCATCAGTGTGCTGTATTCAAGAGACCCATCTCACATGCAGAGACACACATAGGCTCAAAATAAAGGGATAGAGGAAGATCTACTAAGCAAATGGAAAACAAAAAAAGGCAGGGGTTGCAATCCTAGTCTCTGATAAAACAGAGTTTAAACCAACAAAGATCAAAAGGGACAAAGAAGGCCATTTCATAATGGTAAAGGGATCAATTCAACAAGAAGAGCTAACTGTCCTAAATATATATGCACCCAATACAGGAGCACCCAGATTCATAAGGCAAGTCCTTAGAGACCTATAAAAAGACTTAGAATCCCACACAATAATAATGGGAGACTTTAGCACCCCACTGTCAACATTAGACAGATCAACGAGACAAAAGTTAACAAGGATATCTAGGAATTGAACTGAGCTCTGCACCAAGCAGACCTAATAGACATCTACAGAACTCTCCACCCCAAATCAACAGAATATACATTCTTCTCAGGACCACACCACACTTATTCCAAAACTGACCACATAGTTGGAAGTAAAGCACTCCTTAGCAAATGTAAAAGAACAGAAACTATAACAAACTGTCTCTCAGACCACAGTGCAACCAAACTAGAACTCAGGATTAAGAAACTCACTCAAAACTGCTCAACTACATGGAAACTAACCAACCTGCTCCTGAATGACTACTGGGTACATAATGAAATGAAGGCAGAAATAAAGATGTTCTTTGAAACCAATGAAAACAAAGACACAACATACCAGAATCTCTGGGACACATTTAAAGCAGTGTATGGAGGGAAATTTATAGCACTAAATGCCCAAAAGAGAAAGCAGGAAAGATCTAAAATTGACACCCTAACACCACAATTAAAAGAACTAGAGAAGCAAGAGCAAACACATTCAAAAGCTAGCAGAAGGCAAGAAATAACTAAGATCAGAGGAGAACTGAAGGAGATAGAGACAGAAAAAACCCTTCAAAAAATCAGTGAATCCAGGAGTTGGTTTTTTGAAAAGATCAACAAAATTGATATACCGCTAGCAAGACTAAAAAGGTAGAAAAGAGAGAAGAATCAAATAGATGCAATAAAAAATGATAAAGAGGATATCACCACTGATACCACAGAAATACAAACTAACATCAGAGAATACTATAAACACCTCTACACAAATAAACTGGAAAACCTAGAAGAAATGGATAAATTCCTCGACACATACACCCTCCCAAGACTAAACCAGGAAGAAGTTGAATCTCTGAATAGACCAATAACAGGCTCTGAAATTGAAGTAATAATTAATAGCTTACCAACCAAGAAACGTCCAGGACCAGATGGAGTCACAGCCGAATTCTACCAGAGGTACAAGGAGGAGCTGGTACCATTCCTTCTGAAACTATTCCAATCAATAGAAAAAGAGGGAATCTTCCCTAACTCATTTTGTGAGGCCAGCATCATCCTGATACCAAAGCCTGGCAGAGACACAACAAAAAAAGAGAATTTTAGACCAATATCCCTGATGAACATCGATGCAAAAATCCTCAATAAAATACTGGCAAACCGAATCCAGTAGCACATCAAAAAGCTTATCCACCATGATCAAGTGGGCTTTATCCCTGGGATGCAAGGCTGGTTCAACATATGCAAATCAATAAACGCAATCTAGCATATAAACAGAACCAATGACAAAAACCACATGATTATCTCAATAGATGCAGAAAAGGCCTTTGACAAAATTCAACAGCGCTTCATGCTAAAAACTCTCAATAAATTAGGTATTGATGGGACGTATCTCAAAATAATAAGAGCTATCTATGACAAACCCACAGCCAATATCATACTGCCTGGGAAAAAACTGGAAGCATTCCCTTTGAAAACTGGCACAAGACAGGGATGCCTTCTCTCACCACTCCTATTCAACACAGTGTTGGAAGTTCTGGCCAGGGCAATCAGGCAGGAGAAGGAAATAAAGGGTATTCAATTAGGAAAAGAGGAAGTCAAATTGTCCCTGTTTGCAGATGACATGATTGTATATGTAGAAAACCCCATCGTCTCAGCCCAAAATCTCCTTAAGCTGATAAGCAACTTCAGGAAAGTCTCAGGATACAGAATCAATGTGCAGAAATCACAAGCATTCTTATACACCAATAACAGATAAACAGAGAGCCAAATCATGAGTGAACTCTCATTCACAATTGCTTCAAAGAGAATAAAATACCTAGGAATCTGACTTACAAGGGATGTGAAGGACTTCTTCAAGGAGAACTACAAACCACTGCTCAATGAAATAAAAGAGGATACAAACAAATGGAAGAACATTCCATGCTCATGGGTAGGAAGAATCAATACCATGAAAATGGCCATACTGCCCAAGGTAATTTATAGATTCAATGCCATCCCTATCAAGCTACCAATGACTTTCTTCACAGAACTGGAAAACACTACTTTAAAGTTCATATGGTACCAAAAAAGAGCCCACATTGCCAAGTCAATCCTAAGCCAAAAGAACAAAGCTGGAGGCATCATGCTACCTGTCTTCAAAGTATACCACAAGGCTACAGTAACCAAAATAGCATGGCACTGGTAGCAAAACAGATATAGACTAATGGAACAGAACAGAGCCCTCAGAAATAATACCACACATCTACAACTATCTGATCTTTGACAAACCTGACAAAAACAAAAAATGGGGAAAGGATTCCCTATTTAATAAATGGTGCTGGGAAAACTGGTTACTCATATGTAGAAAGCTGAAACTGGACCCCTTCCTTACACCTTATACAAAAATTAATTCAAGATGGATTAAAGACTTAAATGTTAGACCTAAAACCATAAAAATCCTAGAAGAAATCCTAGGCAATCCCATTCAGGACATAGGCATGGGCAAGGACTTCATGTCTAAAACACCAAACACAATGGCAACAAAAGCCAAAATTGACAAATGGGATCTAATTAAACTAAAGAGCTACTGCACAGCAAAAGAAACTACCATCAGAGTGAACAGGCAACCTACAGAACGGGAGAAAATTTTTGCAATCTACTCATCTGACAAAGGGTTAATATCCAGAATCTACAAAAAACTCAAACAAATTTACAAGAAAAAAACAAACAACCCCATCGAAAAGTGGGCAAAGGATGTGAATAGACACTTCTCAGACATTTATGCAGCCAACAGACACATGAAAAAATGCTCATCATCACTGGCCATCAGATAAATGCAAATCAAAACCACAATGAGATATCATCTCACACCAGCCAGAATGGCAATCATTAAAAAGTCAGGAAACAACAGGTGCTGGAGAGGATGTGGAGAAAAAGGAACACTTTTACACTGTTGGTGGGACTGTAAACTAGTTCAACCATTGTGGAAGTCCGTGTGGCGATTCCTCAGGGATCTAGAAGTAGAAATATCATTTGACCCAGCCATCCCATTACTGGGTATATACCCAAAGGACTATAAATCATGCCGCCATAAAGACACATGCACATGTATGTTTATTGTGGCACTATTCACAATAGCAAAGACTTGGAACCAACCCAAATGTCCAACAATGATAGACTGGATTAAGAAAATGTGGCACATATACACTGTGGAAGACTATGCAGCCATAAAAAATGATGAGTTCATGTGCTTTGTAGGGACATCGAAGCTGGAAACTATCATCTCATCAAACTATTGCAAGGACAAAAAACCAAACACCGCATGTTCTCACTCATAGGTGAGAATTGAACTATGAGAACACTTGGACGCAGGAAGGGGAACATGACATCCCGGGGCCTGTTGAGGGGTGGGGGAGGGGGGAACGATAGCATTAGGAGATATACCTAATGTAAATGACGAGTTAATGGGTGCAGCACACCAACATGGCACATGTATACATATGTAACAAACCTGCACATTCTGCACATGTACCCTAAAACTTAAAGTATAATAAAAAAAAGAATATTTATAGGTTTTTCTTGTTATTTATGAATGTATAAATGTTTACAATTTTTTTAATGTATGCAATTCTCATATCGCCACATCGTGGATATAATGAAAAAGTATTTTCATTATATTTATAAAACCCAAAGTGAAAGATCCCACATAGACATTATAGAGTGGTATCTGGACTACATGGACCTTACTTAAAAAGGGGCATAAATATTTTGTTGCCTTAGAGTGGACAAGGCAGTCTCTCTTAAAGCAAAATTTTGTCTGAGCATACTCCACACCAGTATAGTGAATAATAAAAACCAGAGAGTTCACAGGATGTGCAGCTATGCCTAAGGATACTTCACTGTATATTTTCCAGGGTTATGACATTTATCTGTGTGTGTGTGTGTCTGTGTGTGTGTGTATTCAAATCTGGGTCCCTTTTATAAGGGCATCTCTACACCAGATATGCTGAATGTGGAGTCCTAAGATCTATTTCTAATGAGTAGCTACAACACATTACTGCAGTGATGGCAATTCTTGGCAAGACTCGGGCAATTCTCTTAAGTTTTCTTTGACTTGGTTAATTGGAAAATAACAAATTCTAGGAAGTGCAAGGCAGTAAGGAAAATAAAAGTCTAGGGGGATCAATGAAAGGAGGGAGCAGACAAGGGGAAAACTAGACTGAAGGAGTATGCAGTAGACATAATGGGCTTTTGTGCTAAGCAGAAGATTTTAGGTTTCATTCTGCAGTTTTGACAAGCAATTGAAGAATTTTGAATATGATAGTGTTTTTTAACCCAATATCTTTAGCTTTTAAGATGCATTCTACAAATCAGTGTCTTATCTAGAAGACCACATTTCTTTTCAACCAAAAAATATGGGTTAAATGAATGAATGTTGTTTCCCAAAACTCAAGGCTTGCTTCATTACCAGAAGATGAAAGGCTAATTATTTGACTACAAAGGTATTTGATTTCCTTAATGATAATCACTTCATCATTCCTTCTCTAAGATGAAAAAGAAAATAAAAGATTTTTTTTTCATTCTAATGGACTCAGGATAATATATCAGAGTCCCAATTTCAACAATTAAAGAGAAACTTTAAAAATCAATGCTAATGAAACCAGACGTAAAAGAAAAAATACATATAAAAAAAGCATATTTGAATCACAGTTTTTTGAGGTATCAGTCCATAAAATGAGGGAAATGTATTAGATTGTCTTTAAGTCTCCTTTGGCTCTTTAATTGTTTCTGTAAATTCTACCCTAGCAAAAAAAAGTGAGAATATGTTCTTGGAATTCATTAATAATTTAATAAAAAGTAAACAATCAGCAGAAGCTAAAATTCACTGGGTTATTATATGTTAATTTATACATAATTTCTCTGGAGAGTTGCTTTTGCTTTTTTATATTTCTTCTAAGCCAGTTTTCAAACCTTCCTGCAGAGGTGCTTCAGTGGCAGAGCAGAATGAGTGGATCCCTGAAACCTTGGTAAGACATATGTATATTTGGTGATTAATAATTTATCTTAAGATAGGAGGATAAGTTCAAGAGCTCTGTCTTAAAGAATAGTGACTACAGCTAATGTATTGTATTCTTGAAAATTGTTAAGAAGAATTTAACTTCTGGAAGAAAGTTTTCTCACCACGAAAAAAAAAAAGCAGGTAAGGTAATGTGTATGCTAATTAGCTCCATTTCACAATGTTCAAAACAACATATTTTACATGATAAATATACACAATTTGTATTTGTTAATTAAAAATAAATAATATTTATCTTAACAATTCATTAGAATTTGACATTCTATATCATAGAATAATTAGTTGTAATATTTCAACTATGAGACAATAAAATCGAGATTTCTGGAAAAGGTGTTCTTTTACTCCTACACTTTCAGACACCCCCCCACTCCCATGCCCAAACACATAGTGCATGCACACACACAGACACACCCACAGACACGCCCACAGTGACTTCTGACTCTAAGGTTACTTGTTTTTCAATCTGTTCAGACTTGCTCCTTGATAGTGCGCTTGGCCTAAATGCCTCTGCCAAAGTGGCTTTGCCCTCCTGTTACTCTAACTATGGTAAGGCTTTTCTCATCTATCCATTAACTTGCTTTTGTAATTATATCATCACACTTCTTTTCTTTGCCTGCAAGGCTCTGGACACTGATTCCCATCTGTATGGAAGGAGCCCCCATTTTTCCCTTAACACACAGCCCAGATCCTTTATTCTGTTTTTCTTCACCATACACCCTCACTCCCTCTCACCCTTTTTCTCACTCTTATTGTCTATTCTGTTATCACAGTTCCGTTTTGCGTGACAGTGTCCCATAAAATTCATTGGGTTTAAATCCTTTGATGATACTTCCTTCTAGTGCTTTCACTGCCCAAACTGTGTGACGGTTTTGTTTTAGGTTTGTTTCACATTTGCACTGGATTCAAAGTCTAGTAAATTTTTCACATTGTTTTTCTGGTATTCTGTTTTTCAACCCATTTGAATTATCTGATTAGTGAACAAATTTTATTTAATTAAACCTTTCTAAATCCATCTGGCATGTGCCTTTGATGGAATAAAAGTTAACAGTGCTAGATATTAGAACACAAGAAACCGTTTGCTTGTGATGGAAATAATGATAAAGTGGGAGATCCATTCTACATTTAAATGTTATGTTTTCTCGGGTTTTCTAAATTACATTTTTCATGTCTCCAACATAAAAAAAGAGTTCTCTGATATCACCTATGTTTGCATTGACTTGGCTTCTTTAGGGTGTTTGGTTGGTTGCTCATTATTTGTTAATATTTTTATATGAATGGTGGCATGCGCTTGCAGTCCCAGCTACTCGGGAGGCTGAGACAGGAGAATGGCGTGAACCCACGGGGCCGAGGTTGCGGTGAGCCGAGATCGCACCACTGCACTCCAGCCTGGGCGACAGAGCAAGACTCCATCTTAAATAAATAAATAAATAAATAAATGCACAGAACTGGTATTTACCCTCAAGGTAGGGATAATTTTTATTGTGTTTTTCTTTCTTTCTTTTTATTGTTTCTTGGGTTTTTGTATGTGTGTGACCTAGGACAAATAAGTTCCCTGAGCCTTAGTTTTCTCATCTGCAAATGACAAATAATATCTATTTCACAGATATTTTGGGAGAATGAAATCAAAGGCAGTGTGCAAAGCACCAAGTTTACTGGTATTCAATCATTGTTCATTTATTTCTGCCTTCTTTTTCAATGATTTTTTTCAATGTATCAAATGTAGATTCTGTCAATACGCCTTTATCACTATCTTCAAATGACTTTCACAGATAGTTTCATGATTATGTCCATTAATATTTATCCTTTTAAGTGACTGAAAAAGAGAAAAACACAAGATTTAAAATTAATTTTGAAGATAACAGGGATTTTTTTACACACATAGCTATCAAAGGCCCAGATGTGTACCATATGAGTTGATGAAAATGTATATAGGAAGCTGTGATAAAAGCTTTTCGTTTTAGTCTATCATATCCTAAATTCAAGGTTACTCTTATACAGCTGGTATATATTAAATATAACATTTTGAGTTATAACAAAAATGGCTGACTTAAAAAGGACGGAAAATTTGAACAGAACATTAGGAATATTTCCTCCTGGGACATGGTAAAGTTAGGAGAGAAGCTATATGTTTCTAGGGCATCTCTTCAATATGGACAAGATATCAAAATCCAAGAAAAATATTTAGGGGATTATATTTTGCTCTAAGTATTGCCTTTTATTTATCTATAGTCTCTTTTAGAACACACACACAAGGGGGACATCTCAAAATGCACACACACAATAAAATAAAAATTATATCACATATACCTCTATGAGTGCCACTGGAAGAATGTTTGAAATGGCAGAAGAAGAAACTTCAAATAAGAAAGAAATATGGATTAATAAAAAGAGATGAAGGAAAAGTATTGTGGCAAACACTACTAGTTCCAAATCTATCATCATTTCCCTCTAATATCTCTGCTAAGAGAACCCTACTTTGTCTGTCTTGACAATGGACTTGGCTCCAAGTGATGAAACATGATCATTTCAAGGAAGCCAATCTTAGAATTTTGCCCCCATTCCCAGCTACTCCTGAGGCATAATTCAGGGCAATGAGACATGAAAGAAAGTCTGTTGGGGAGCTTTGGCAGAGATTTTCTTTCTTATAAAATGGCACGGAAGTGAACGTGCTAAAACTGCCCCATCCCCCTGTTACTTGCAGTGAGCAGGTACATAATGCCTGGAGCTTTTGGAACCATCTTGCAAGCATAAGGTCCCAAATATAAGAATCAATACACCAAGGATAGTGGAATTAAAAAATAAAAAATATCCAGTGCATTAACAACATATTTAAGCCACTGGGCCAACCCTGAAACCGTATCATCAGGTTTCTTTTTAAGGCACAATAATTATTTTTATGGCTTAAATCACTGTTAGTCAACTATTCTATTGCTTAACACAAAATAATTATTAAAGAACACAAGGGTTTTCTGGTTTTGTTTTGGGGTTTGTTATTATAGCTGTTGTTGCTGCTGCTTTTTGTTTTGCATTTAACAAATAATATGAGAACCGCTGACTGAAAAATGAAAAATTCAGATAGTTCTAACATCCCCAAATTGTAAGCAGCCCAAATAGTCATCAATAAGTGAATAAAGACATTATAGTATATCTGTACAATGGAATACTACTTGGGAATAAAAAGGAATGAACTAATGATATGAACAACACAAATAAGTCTCAAAATTGTTACGTTAGTGAAAGATGCCAGACACAAAAGATGATAGGAGCCAATTTGTATGAAGCTCTAAAACAGGTAAAACTAACCTGTGGTAGAATAAATCAAAAGAATGGTTTCCTTTGTATGGTTGTGTGATGGACTGGAAAACAAAGTGCTCTTTCTAGGGTGATATAAAAGTTAAATCTCTTGATGGAAGTAGGGGTTTCATGAATATATGCATTTGTCAGAACTCACTGAACTTTGTACTTAATATTCTGCAACCCATTTATGTAAATTGTATTTCAATAAAAGTGGTGAAGGAAAAAGCATACAATAACAAGAAGAACTATTTTTTGTTTAATCTGGTAGAGATAAGAGCTGGTTAAAAAAAGTGTTGTGTAGGATACGATGTGGAGGAAAGAGCACAATCTGCTGTATGTCAACAGGACTAAGAATTTATGTTACACATATCCTTTACATAGGATGTCCACTTTAGTGAATTTGTACTAAAAGAAAAAAATACAAGTGTGTCTGTGTGTGTGTGTGTGTATACATATATATATAAAGATTTTCTATCAGTAAATGATAGGTGAGACTTTGAATAAAGAGCGCTCCCTTGGCTCAAAATTATAGCAGTGAGAAATAAAATGGAAAATCAGAAACTCTGGACTCAATAACAAGATAAAAATCTCCCTGGAACAGAAATACAAAGCAGCTTGTAAGGCTGAAACATACCTGCTGTTACAAGCAGTGGTTACCAGGAGTATAGCTCCTGTAGAAAAAACGGGACAGAATATGTTCCAAAAGGAAGGAGGACCAAAGTCAACCTCACTGAAGGAGACAGAAAAAATATTACTGGTTTCACATACTGCCTGAGACTAGCTCATGGCAGACGTAGGGAGGTGGTGGGATCAGGATGCAGGTACAGTCAACACAAAGTTGTTAAATACATCGGTGTGAGAATAAAGACAGTTAAAGGAGACTGAGGGAAAAACAACAACAAACCGGCAACATAGTAAATCTCTCTTCCTCAAGATATCCTGCAAGCCAAAATTCCAAATCACTGGTAGAAATCTAATGTTAAAATACTCTCAAAACTACAGGTATCTAAGATCTACAATGAACTTTGCTACAATTACCCCAATAACTTTCAGGTAATAATGTAAAAACTTTTCAAAATATTTAAAGTGATGATAGAATTATTGAACACAACAAAATATTATCAAATATGCAATTATATAATCTGTGTAACTCAAATTTTCTTGTTAATCCACACCACACACACAATTCTTTGTGATGGGGATAAAGGGCCTTAACCTTAACATCTTAACGTCCAGGTAGGTGTTGGCAATGGCCTATTAGTAGCCTTCTAGCTAGGATGCTTGCTTTATTCCCAGTGGCTGCCTAGACCACGAATTAGCAAATCTGATCTAGCGCTTGTTTTTGTACAGTCCACAGATAGTTTTACATTTTTAAATGTTAGTGACAAAAATCTAAAGAAAATAACATTTCATGACATATAAAAAGTATAAGAATTCAAATTATGGTGCTCATAAATAAAGTTGTATTAGAACATAGCGCTCTCAATAGTCTAAATATTTTACTATGGCTCTTTTTATGAAGAGTTGAATAGTTGTGACATAGACCATATGACCTGCAAAGCTAAAATATTTATGATCTGGCTATTTACAGAAAAAGCTTGCTGATTCCTGGCCTACACCATCACTAAGGAATAGGTTTAAATCAACAGCTCTTATCAGCTGAAGGTCCTGAATCTCCTGCTAAACACTTTACCTTCCAGTGTTAGGAGAGCAGAGAGACAGTATGCATCCCTGCAGTGGAAGCAAATGTCATTGAAATGTGGAAGCCTAGAGTTATTATTTGGGAACCCTTATATGTGGGTCCTAGATATGATTATTCTAGCTTCTGCTGATTATTCTATAATTGTCCTATGATTTCACTGGTTTTGTTACTTCCCCAACAGCTGGTTGTAAATTTTATACATAGATAAATTAAGTAGCCCTAATATGTCAGTTTTAGATATGATTCGTGCACATATGGCTCTGATTCCTCCACCTGTCTGGCTATAGTTTTACATACATGCAAAGTACATTATCATCATGTGTTGAACCTGATTGCAATATAGTCCCCTTCACAGGACACAGGATTCGAACTGATAAAGGGATGAGGCCAGAATTGGACATCAGAATCATAAACACACTACTGGAAGTCAACAACAGCAAAACAAAATTTGAAAATGAATGCACCTCAGATAAAATTAATATCTTGGAAAAATTGGATAAAGACTCTAAAATAGGTATGTTTTGGATTGCTCATAGACACAAATCAAGGCAAACTATACATTAAAAGAACAACAAGTATAAAATAGAATCAGGCACAAATTTTTAAAAATAAGAGGTAGGTGTAAAAAAGAACTATGAGAAAAGCTTGAAATAAAAAATACAGTCATTGAAATATAGAGATCTAATTTTTGAGACAAACTCTAGACCAAAACAGATCATAGTAATAACATAAATTAATGAATTGAAGATACTGCTGAGAAACTAATGTAAAATATAGCCTAGAGATATAGAAAGAGAGAAAATATGAAGGAACAATTAAGAAAGACGGGCGATAGACCAACGATCTCCATCACACATCGCATGAGAATTTTGGAAGTAGAGCAGTGAAGGACACGACAAGGAAGTGTTATTTGAAGATATAATAACAGAACTTCCTAGAAATAAAAACACAAGTTCGCCTATCTAAAATAAATATAAAATTCTAAAGGGTACAAAAATAAAAATGATATTAACTCCTAAGGAACAATAGACTGACAGCAACATTTTTTCATCACTAAAAATAGATACTAGAATAGTGCATCATTATAAAAATAATAAAATAACAAGAATGTTTCAATAACACATATGCATCTAACATATAGCTTCAAAAGTATGCATAACAAATAACAGACCTGAATGGGGAGGGGATAAACAATCAATAACTATTATAGTAGAAGTTTTTTTATAGCCTTCTCAAATCAGCTAAATCAAACAAACAAAAAATAAGCAAAGATACAGAAGATATGAAGAATACAGTTAACAAGTTAAAACTAGAAGACATATGACTCCATAACCAAAACTATTTTCAATCACACATGAAATGTTGGAAAAATTATCCTTTTGCTAGTTCGTAAGAGAAGCATTAATAAATATCAGGTAAATTATGTTCCACAGTAATACAATTATCAGTAACAAAAGTTTTTGAAATTCTACCTATCTGGAAACAAAATAACATATCCTAAACTGCTTTTTTTAAAAAAGCAAAATTAAAATGTTCTTAGCATTAAACTAAACTAAAAATGTTACCTTTCCAAATATTTGTAGGAACCACTAAACTATCCTCAGAGGTAAATCATAACAATAATAAGAATGAGGAGAAACACATTGTAGTTATGAAAGGATTAATATATCAAGAAGATAAAACAAATCATGAATGGTTTTCACTTAATTGCATACTTTTAAAGGATATGAAGCAATAATAACAGAGTTACAAATGAAGTGGACAAATTTATAATTATTTCAGGAAATTCAGCACACCTCTATCAGAAACTGATATATAATAATTGATTGATTAAACCATAGTTCAATCATACATCTGCTTTCTTACAAATTTTTATGTAGCTCTAGGTTAATTTATATACAACAATGTATACAACATAGTTAAGTGAAAAGGCATATTTCAGTGTAAGTGTGTGTGTGTGTGTGTGCGTGTGTGTGTGTGGTGTATAAACAAAAATCACTGGGGAAGCATATATGCTAAGATGTTAGAAATGGTAATTTCTTGCCTGGGCACAGTGGCTCACACCTGTAATCCCAGCAATTTAGGAGGCCAAGGCAGGAGGATCAGACCACTTGAACCCAGGAGTTCAAGGCCAATCAGGGCAACAATTATAAGTAAGACCCAGTCTCTACAAAAAACAAAAAATTTGCCAGGGATGGTGGTATATGTCTTTAGTCCCAGCTACCTGGGAGGTGAGGTGGAAGGATCCTCTGAGCCTGGGAGATCGAGGCCTCAGTGAGCTGTGATGGCACAACTGCACTCCAGCCTGGAGGACAGAGCAAGGCCCTATCAGAAAGAAAAGAAAAGAAGAGAAGAGAAGAGGAGAAAGAGAAGAAAAGAGAAAGAAAAAGAGTAATTTCTTGATAGTGGGATTTTGGTTAATGTATACTTCCTTCTTTATTTCTCTCTGTATTATATAATTTTTCCCATGAACATATATTAATTTTTATATTAAGGAAAAATAAACAATAACAGCACTGGCATTTTGGAAAACAAAATCAAGCCTATATGTTCCTTCAAGGTACAGAATTTCTTTATATAATATGCATTTAAAAATCCAAAGGAAACAATTAATTTTATTCTTTCTTTGCTCAATTTCTTTTTTGTTAGATTGAACTCCCGCTTTTGCATATTAGTCTCTCCTTCTACAAGGATCATGAATACACAAAAAGGAAGAATCAATTCCCAGCTGCCAGAGGTGGAACCCAAAGGAGCACTATTTTGTGTTTGTAGTAAAATATATTCAAGACAAAATATCATTTCAAACACTGCCAAGTGTACAGCTCTGTGCCATGAAGCACATGCACATGATTGTGCAATCATTACCACCATTCATCTCCAGAATGCCTTTATCTCACAGGAGTCCTCTTATGGTTAGACATGTGGAAATAAGCATTACTGTTCAACAAAACAATGAGAGGATATTTTTCTTAAATATTACCCAGGGACATAAACTGTCTGTTTAGGCCTGTGGCAGTAGTTATCTCCTCTGGTTTTATTACAATCCCTTTTTGGCTTCTCCATTGGTTTTACATATGTATTTTAATTTTTTTTTACTATTTATTTTGAAATAGATAGTCACAGGAAGGTTCAAATATACAGAATGGTTCTTTGTAATTTTCATTGTTTCCCCCAATGATTACACCCTACATAACTATAGTACAACATTAAAACCAGGAAACTGACATTGGTATGATGTACAGTTCTGTAACATTTTATCACATATGTATTTCTGTATAGCCACCAGAGAAATAGAAAAAAAACAAAAACAGAACTATTCCATCCCAAGAAAGATCTCCTATGCTACTCCTTTATAGTCAGGGCTGTTTCCCTTACTCCATGACCACTAATCTCTGGAAACCACCAATCTGTTCCCACCTCCATAATTTATGTGGAGATTGTTACATAAATGGAATCATATACTATGTGACCTTTGAGATTGGCTTTTTTCACTCAGCATAATGTCCTTAATCCATGCAAGGTATTATATGTATCAATAGTCCATTGCATTTTTATTGGTGAGTAGTATTCCAATGTATACATGTACCACAGTTTGTTTAACCATTCACATATTGATGAATATTTTGGGTTTTTACAGTTTGAGGAGACTACAAATAAAGCTGCTATAAAAATTCCTTTACAGGTTTTTGTGTAGGCCTAAATTTTCATTTTTCTGGGATAAATGCCCAGGAGTGCAACTGCTCAGTTGTATAGAATCTGTTTAGTTTTAAAGTAAACTGCCACACTATTTTTCTGAGTGGCTGTACCATTTTATATTCTCACCAGCAACACATTAGACATCCAGTTGTTCCACATCCTTGCCAGCCTTTGATATTGCTGCTATTTTTTATATTAGCAGTTCTAATGGATATGTAATAGCTACTGATGATAAATATCGCTTCACGTGCATATTTGCTATCTGTATATCCTCTTTGGTGAAACGTCTTCTCATGTCTTTTGACAATTTTCTAATTGACTATCATTTTTCTACTGTTCTGTTTTGAGAAACTTTATATGTTCTAGACAAAATTTCTTTTCAGATATGTGGTTTGCCAATATTTTATCCCAGTAGTTTGTCTTTTCATCCTTTTAACGGGGTCTTTCACAGATTAAAAGGTTTAATTTTGATAAAGTTCAATTTATAAATTTATTTTTAGTATAACGAGTTGTCATTTTCATTTATATGTGTGCTTCTGTCCAAATAGTAGGTCTCTTCCCTTTTCTGAATGTCTACTTTGTAAAATATATGGCAAAATTTAAACTCACTTTCAAAAGGACTAATCTAATTAGTAACTGGTTAACTTTAAGGATTTTCAAAATTACCTGTGTTAACATTTACACATCAGTAAATTAAACACTCATAAGTGTACTGCCTCCATGAAAGTCGGAAATCTACAAAAATCAGAACCAGCAATCAAAAACTGAAAATAGAGTGAGAGATTTATTTTAGAATAGAAAATGTCAGAATACACAGCTAAAAAAATTGAAAACTTATTAGTAATACAAGTTCCTTATATGATATTTTAAATTGCAACATAAAATCAATTGGTTAAAATTTCTCTCAGTAAATCTTTCTTGTACCAATTGTATGCGAATCCCAAATGTCTCTAAATGAGAAGAATCATTTTTCATGGTGAACTTGCTTTTGTTTCTATCTTTATTCTAAAAATAAAAAATAATAATTACTATGTCCAATCATCTCTCTTGTTACATAATTTTCAAATTATATATTAGACTTAGATAGTGTATAGTTGGCAAAATAACAGTGACACCTATTCTGTTTAATGACTGTAAATGGCAAAGACAGCGTATCTCTGATATACTTTTAACTGAACCTGCTCCACCAAATCTCCATACAGATAATGTTTCTTTTTTTCTTTTTTCTTTTCTTTTTTGAGAAAAGAGCACATAGTGTTGCCTAGGCTGGCGTCCAGTGGTGCAATCAGGGCTCACTGCAGCCTCGACCTCCTGGGCTCAAGTGATCCTCCCACCTCAGAATGCCGAGTAGCTGAGACCACAGGCAGGCGCCACCATTGCCCGGCTAATTTTTAAATTTTTTGTAGAGACACAGGTCTCTCTATGTTCCCCAGGCTGGTCTTGAACTCCTGCAGATAAGCAATCCTCTCGCTTGGGCTTCCCAAAGTACTGGGATTACAGTCATGAGCCACTACACCCTGCCCAGATTATGTTTCTTATACAAACATCTTAGACTTAATCTTATGGTTGATAACAAAGGTATATGTCTAACAATAAATGTAACTGATTATCCTACATTTTTACTTCAAGATTATCCCCTCCTGCCAGGGAGTTCTCCAAAAGGCACTGTAGAAGTGGCAAGATAAGGAAACTTAAGCATCCACTGCAAAGGAAACCTAAACATCCACATCTCTCTACGATGTTCTCAAGGAAGCACTCCCCAACATTCTGCCATAGAAGAGAACAGGACTTCTGGTCCTGTTCTGGTCCTAATGAACAGGTGCTCATTAGATGTTTTCTCTTCCAGCTGTGTCAGCTGCTAATGGTAAAAGAATCCCTCCTTAGCACCAAATCACTGATGAACTTGATGACTGTAGAATTAAGGACTTCCCTCAGGTAGTCAGTATAAAGTTCAAGGTGGCTACTAAGCAAGGTAAGAATCTCATGCTCTACCCAAAGCCAATACTGAGGAGGCAATGAAAAAGCAAAATCACCTAGGAAAAGGCTGGCCCCAGACCCTCTTGTAGAGGGATCAAGAGTTAGCACTAGTTTATAAACCTTTAGAAAGAAATAACAAAGGGTTGACAAGAAGTCCAGGTTTGCCTGGGGGAGTGGAGGCAGGAACAGCAATCTTCCATGAAATAAGTGTTCCAGCTCCAGTTTAGGCAATACATTTCCAGAAATAATCTGCTCAATATGTAATCAAGAAAAGTTCTGAGGACACTTACTTTGAAATGCAAGAAATTTGGGAAAGAGTTTAGGTAGGCAGCCATCTCTGGACTCTGTTTCCCAACTACTTTTAATGAAAAGACTCCAAGAAATATCACTTCATAACAAAAATCCATACCCAAATTCTTCCTTTGGGAAGAATCTTGGATTAGGGGACCTTTAAGCTCTTATCTAACCCAAAGATTATGATTCTAAGCTATTAAATATTGACAGACAAATAATGTGGACTCAATAAATATTTGCTGAAATGAATCAAACTGAATTGAATTCAGGAAGTAAAAGGGTTTATGTTTTATGACTATAGTTTATCTAATTCTCACAGTCAAACAGCTGTTCGAACTTCCTTTCCTTTGAAAGTCTTACATATGCTCACCACATTTCCCTGCTAAAATCTGCAAGGTAGAGCTCATCTTACTAATCACATTTTAGAGGTCAAATTGCCTTCAATGTTTCATTTTTGCGTGTCCTTTTCCCAATAGCATTATGTCCCAACATAGAGTTTTCATATCCTTTATCTAAAAATAAATTACCTGAACTTGATTGCATATAGGATCATGGACTAATGAACATGGATTTTTGCTTAACAGATACCCGATTTTTTCTAGCAAGGGTACTTTATGATTTATGATCCTTAATGACCTAGTTATTTGAAAAAACCATAGAGGGTATCAATGAGTTTTCTTCAATTGGTTAAAATATCATACATTTCTTTCACTAGTTCAGACATCTTTGTCTTTGATCCTGATTCACAGAATTTAGTGAGGAGGTGGAAAAGAGAATTGTTACAGAAGATGAATCAACAACATGATGGACAAAGGATCATAGAAGTAATAAAAAGAATTTTTTTAACTTCAAAAAAAAAGTCAGAAAATGTAAGACTCTTTGGCTACGGAAATGAAATCGCGCTTTAGCAGAAATTTATCTAATGCACATCATATATTCTTATGACAGGAACTATATTTATGATCATAAAAGCACTAATAATATTCTGTATAATAGTCTTGAAGTAAACTCAACAATGTACTTGCCATTCATAGTTACCCTATGAATATTATCAAAATAACTAAATAATGTGCTCACATTGTATATTCCTGTTATGGAAATTATTTTATATGCCTATTTAACTTTACTAGTTTGTTTAAATCACAAGACAATCTTGCTATTATTAAAATTGATTACATAATCAATATGATCAGGATCCATAAATGGCTTTCTATGGCTTTCCACGACTTAAACTTTTCAAAAAATTATCTAGGCATAAAATTATTTTTTGTTTTTATAATATATTATGAAGACAGAAGCATATTTATTAACAGATTAGGCAACCCATTGTCTTAGTATGTTTATTGTAATTTGAGTTTAAAAATTTATTGATTTGTTAATTTTTGCTAAACTAATTTAGAACTTGCCTTGACATTCTCCATTGAACTACTGTAACTGTGCTATAACCTAATTAGAAAAATCTCAGGAGACAATGATTGTTTCTTATGTTTAAATATGAACTAGGAAAGTAGTCTTTCTCAGTTTATAGATTGTTTTTACTCATTTACCTAAGACAAGACTGACAGTTATCCTGTCAAGGTAATCAAAGCCTAAAATGTTTTTTTCTATATTATTTTTTTGATAGACATATATAGGAAGTTGACAAGTAAAAATGGATTATATAGCAAGCCCAAAACTTGGAATGCATTTTTTCAGAAACAATGTTGTAAATGGTATTCAAATACCCTGCTAGTTAATGAAATGTACTTATCATATGTAGAAACGCTATTTGCTTATATTACAGAATGTGCAATACCACTCTTTTCAGTAAATAAAATAAAAAGTAAAGACTGAAATGTAATTTTATCTTTAATGTTTGTACTACGCTTAAGATAAATCCAGTTTTACTAGAGGATATTGATTGGAGGTAATTCTAAAAGAAACCTGAAATTCTACAACTTAAATATAACTTTTCTTATCATGGTTGCTTTCGCTATCTATTGCTGTGTAACAACTAACCTCAAATTTATCAGCTTTAAATCAACAAATATTTATTAGTTCATAGTTTCAAGGGTCAGGTATCCAGGAATGGCTTACCTGAGTCGTTCTTGCCCAGATTCTCTCTTGAGGTTATTAAGCTGTTAGCCAGGGCTCCAGACATCTCAAGAAGATTCAGCTGGGAAAGAAGGGTCTGCTTCCAAGTTCAGTCACATGGTTGTTGGGAGATCTCAATTCTTCTCTGGCTATTGGCCAGATAGTATAATACTATACTTCCTTACCATAAAAGTCTCTCTAGAGGGCTGCTTAAAACACAGCAGCTTGGCAGATAAAGTGATAGAGAGAGAGATCCAGAGACCTAAATGAAAGCCACCATCTTTCATAACTTAAACTCAGAAGTGCCATACTGTCACCTAGGCCTTATATTATTAGCCACAATAACAGAGCCTGGAACTATTGTGCCTGGAATTGGTGGGTTCTTGGTCTCACTGACGTCAAGAATGAAGCCGCGGACCCTCGCGGTGAGTGTTACAGTTCTTAAAGGCTGCGTGTCCGGAGTTTGTTCCTTCTGATGTTCAGATGTGTTCGGAGTTTCTTCCTTCTGGTGGGTTCGTGGTCTCCCTGGCTCAGGAGTGAAGCTGCAGACCTTCGCAGTGAGCGTTACAGCTCTTTAGGCGGCGCGTCTGGAGTTGTTCGTTCTTCTCGGTGGGCTCATGGTCTTGCTGGCTTCAGGAGTGAAGCTGCAGACCTTCAGGGTGAGTGTTACAGCTCATAAAGGCAGTGTGGACCCAAAGAGTGAGCAGTAGCAAGATTTATTGTAAAGAGCGAGAGAACAAAGCTTCCACACCGTGGAAGGGGACCCCAGCAAGTTGCCACTGCTGGTTGGGGCAGCCTGCTTTTATTCTCTTATCTGGCCCCACCCACATCCTGCGGATTGGTAGAGCCGAGTGGTCTGTTTTGACAGGGCACTGATCGGTGTGTTTACAATCCCTGAGCTAGACACAAAGGTTCTCCACGTCCCCACCAGATTAGCTAGATACAGAGTGTGGACATAAAGGTTCTCCAAGGCCCCACCAGAGTAGCTAGATACAGAGTGTCGATTGGTGCATTCACAAACCCTGAGCTAGACACAGGGTACTGATTGGTGTGTTTACAAACCTTGAGCTAGATACAGAGTGCCGATTGGTGTATTTACAATCCCTGAGCTAGATATAAAGGTTCTCCAAGGTCCCACCAGACTCAGGAGCCCAGCTGGCTTCTCCCAGTGGATACGGCACCGGGGCTGTAGGTGGAGCTGCCTGCCAGTCCCGCGCCGTGTGCCCGCACTCCTCAGCCCTTGGGTGGTCGATAGGACTGGGCGCCGTGGAGCAGGAAGCGGCGCTCGTCGGGGAGGCTCTGGCCGCACAGGAGCCCACGGAGGGGGTGGGAGGCTCAGGCATGGCGGTCCCGAGCCCTGCCCGCCGGGAAGGCAGCTAAGGCCCGGCGAGAAATCAAGCGCAGCGCCGGTGGGCTGGCACTGCTGGGGGACCCAGTACACCCTCCGCAGCCGCTGACCTGAGTGCTAAGCCCCTCATTGCCCCGGGCCGGCAGGGCCGGCTGGCTGCTCCGAGTGCGGGGCCCGCCAAGCCCAGGCCCACCGGAACTCCAGCTGGCCCGCAAGCGCCGCGCGCAGCCCCGGTTCCCGCTCGCGCCTCTCCCTCCACACCTCCCTGCAAGCTGAGGGAGCCGGCTCCGGCCTTGGCCAGCCCAGAAAGGGGCTCCCACAGGGCAGCCGTGGGCTGAAGGGCTCCTCAAGTGCCCCCAAAGTGGGAGCCCAGGCAGAGGAGGCGCCGAGAGCGACGGAGGGCTGTGAGGACTGCCAGCACGCTGTCACCTCTCACTGTGTGGGAGAGGACTACACAAGGGTGTGAATATGGGGATAAATGCAGACTATCTTGAAGGGTGATATCACAATGGCATATTTCTTTCTGGTCTTCTTTTGGTACATTTTTATATGCTATTGTTCCACCAAATAATGTAACAAAAGCGTTTTGTCATTAAAACATCCCGTAAATATTATTTTAGTACCAAGCTTATATAGTGTTGACCTTTTATATTTCTCCCAAATATGTACTATTATAAATAATTCTATGATAAACAGCATTTGCATGAAGCTTTTCTGTTTCTATTTCAGATTACTTCTTTTGGATTGCAATCTAGCTTTGGGACTAATTTTAACAGCCTTAACACAAGTTGAGAAACTGCCTTCTAATTGTATCAATTTAACTTCCAGAGGAGCGTAAGAGTGTTTCACTGCTTCCTTATCCAGGGACTTTCAAAGACTTAAAAGTTAATAACACTAGTTTTTTTGTTTGTTTGCTTTTTGCTTTTTTAAATGTTCATGTTGTTTTCATTTCTTAATTTCTTACATGAGTAGCTCTGCTCTTAAACATAGCAACTATGATGTGTGAGTGTGTGTATGTGTGTGTGTACTTGGAAGAGCATGGAAGAGAAAAGATGATTATTGAGAAATGCTGAGTTAAATGAAAAAGAATGAGAAAAAGAGAAGGAATTTTGAGGGAAAATAATTTATAACTGAGAAAGTATTGCTAAGTCTATGTTTATATACTGAGGTGGGAGTGATGAAAAAGAAGAGGCGTAGAAGGAAACTGGTATGCACCTTGATGAAACAGAAAAAGGTGGTTAGGGCCAGGCGCGGTGGCTCATGCCTGTAATCCCAGCACTTTGGGAGGCTGAGGCAGGCTGATCACCTTAGGTCAGGAGTTTGAGACCAGCCTGGCCAACATGGTGAAACTCCATCTCTTCCAAAAATACAAAATTAGCTGGGCGTGGTGGTACGCCTGTAATCCCAGCTACTCAGGAGGCTGAGGCAGGAGAATCGCTTGAACCCGGGAGGCAGAGGTTACAGTGAGCAGAGGTCACACCATTGCACTCCAGCCTGGACTAGAGTGAGCCCCTATCTTGAAAAAAAAAAAAAAAGAAAGAAAAGAAAGAAAAAGGTGGTTGGAGGAAGAAAGAGACTGGGGAGTCCAATTTCCTGTGATTGTCTCCCGGGAATATGATGGCCCAGGATAACTTGCTTACTTTACTTGAGAGTTAGAGAAATACTGAGAGGAAAACGTGTGAATTAACTGAGAACATTTATGTTCTTTTACTTTCATTCAGTTTTTAAATTTTCTTTCACTTTCTTTCAGTTCCTATTATAAAACTATTTTCCTGTGGTAAAATAATGACAAATTAAAAATAATCTTTTTATAAAAGTGCATCTGTGTAAGAGTAACATAAATTAAGGGATTAACGGAGTCCCTCTTCATAGTTGTTAAACCCACCATTGTATTTGATATTATCATATTTTTACCCCAACTTCATGCTTTTGTCAAAAGAGTATAAATTTTCTGAGGCAAGTATTTGGCGAAGTGTATATTTTTAGTCAAAAGATACATTGTTAGATTTAATTTTTTAAGTGATTATCAGAAACAAAAAAATAGGACTGTGTTATTTTCTTACTGTAGCCTTAAGAAATGTTTTCTCTGGTCTTACAGTGTCCTGCGTAAACCTCTATGTTATAGTTTATTGAATTAATCTACTTATAATATCTTATTTCCTTCATTAGAATGTGAGGTTTGGGTATGGACCTAATCCTACATATCTTTAATTCCCTGAATACCTACCACAGTGCTTAATATATAAATATTTGTTGAGCCATTAAGTAATGCAGTTGGGAATTTGAATGCCAGATTTAATATACCTTTATAGCTATCTGCTAAGTTATTTAATATGAAAATCATCAGTTATAACTATTTTAGCCAGATGTTTGGATAGCAAAGCAGATATATGGATTTGCTAAAAATGATACACAGTAAAAAAATATATCTGACAATGTTTACAGTATTTTACATATAAAATATATTTGTCTGGGGCATGATTTTCATTCATTCATTCATTCATGCCAAAAAAGACTATTAAATATCTCATATTTGCTAGACATCTTTGTTGCACCAGACTGAAAATTTAAGATTTGACTCCATTGACCGTAGGGAACCTTTGCCTGATTCTAAGGGACATGTGTTTTAGATGCGTCTTAGAAAGCAATGAGGAGGATGAACTGGAACAAAGAGAGACTGGAAGTAGGAAAGGTGATTAGACAGCAATCAAGAGTGACCACATAAAAAATTATAAAGACTTGAGGTAAGGTAATAACCATAAGGACAGATGGAAGAGGACGATGGAAAAAATAATAGGTAACAATGAACAAGGACTAATGCTGCTTGGATTTGAGAAGATGGAGGAGTTGGCACATATGACTTGCATTGCTTCAGCTTTAGGGACTGGGTGAATTAAGGTACCATTAACTATTAACCAGGTGGCATAAAAAGCAGCTGGCCAAGGAGAAAAGAGAGCAAATTGGTACCATTGCACAATCCAGATGGAACTATCAATAAGCAATTGAATACATTGATCTGGAGCGCATGAGAGAAATATCTGTGGAAAAATTTGAGTTGTTATTGTGAGGGTGGTGACAAAGATCATGGCAGAGAGAAGAAAAAGGAGGAGGAGGAAAATAGAGGGAAATACAGAAGGAGAATGAGAAGGAGAAGAAGGGGAAGGAAAACAGGATAAATGACTGAATCTTTTTATGATTTGTTACAATTATAACTTCTGTGTGTTCTATGGGTAAACTACTATGATTATAGGAGCCATATGGTTATTAAAACAAAATAAAAATCTGCACTGATGCAAATCTTGATATAGTCCTTTTTTTGCTCATAGCTTTTAAAAAATCAAAGTTATATTTTGCCTCATAGCCTCATGTTAGCCTTTATTTCTTAAAACTGTAGTGAAGGTAAGCTGCTGATGAGATTATGGGTTTCTCCTATGAGTCCCTGAAGAAAATTAACCCTGAAAAACATCATAAACTGTGGTTTGTTTTAACACCTCTTGCCATCAGCTTTTCTATGATGAACACTTGCAATGAACCTCTTTACACTATCGAAGAAACCTTGTAAAGTCTAATTGACTTTCAAGAGAAACGAGTCATCAGAATTTTTTTCTCCTGTGTATTACAGTGGACATGACATGACAGTTAACATCTTCAATACTGTAATAAAATCCAAGGCTATTGCCATCACTGAGCCACATCAGTTTTGATGGATGTGAAGAAACTGTAAAGACATAGAGATGTATGGCAAAAAAAAAAAAAAAGAAAGAAAGAAAAAAAAAACATTTTCTGGAGTAACAGGAACCTGATTATATGTTTAGAAACACAAAATAGTTCAAAAGCTAGTGGAGTTTTACCAACTAACTAGCTGTGTGGGCTTCCTCCATGCCTGGGCTTTGCTTAATGATATTTAAAATGAGGAGATTGGACTAGAATATCTTGACGTTTCCTTCAGTTATAAAATTTCATAGTAATTCAGAAACATACCATGTCTAAGATTAATTTCATGTTAGAAACATTAACAGACAAAGAGCTCTTGCATCAGGAAATTCCACATATTTGAATCAATGTGTAAGAAGAAATTTAACTTTGCTTTCTCTTATATAGACTATGTCTCAGAAAAATGTAAGATCTATTAAATTGAACCATATTAAATTGTCATTTGTGTTGTTCAAAGTTGGTCAAATAGAGACAAATTTATATGATTCAAGTTAACATCATTATTTTTAGTTGATGTGTTACTAACATACACAAGCGATTAGACTTTATTTTCATTGATTTTTATTTTCTGGAAAATAGAAATTTGGTAATCAAGTCCTTAACACAGAAAGGGGTACAACATTCTAGTGAAATATTTTAAGATCCTTAGAAATATAATATCAATACTATGCCATTGGAGGATTGGAGGGTTGTGAAAAACAAACAAGCAAACAAAAAACGGAGTCTTCACTGCTTGATGGAGGCTTTTGATTCAGTATTGGAATTCTTTATCCAGTAGTTATCCCCTTTCTATATTCATTTGGATAAAGCTTTCCTGGGTATAGAACCCACTTAGCCTGCAAGATTCCATCCCAGAGCAATTGATCTTTGTCTCTCCACCAAGATCAACTAAAACTGGAACCTAGTATTAACTGCCTTTCAATCAAAGTTTTAGGACACTCAGAGCCAACCTCTTAGCAGTGATATGCTGTGGTTACGTTTTTTCAAGATTAGATATATACCTACTAACAATGAACTAGGCTACATTAGAGAGAGAATTAAGTGTATTGTTCACTGGAGGATATGGGTAGCCCCTGTTGTTGAGTCTCCATGGTTCCTGCCAGCAGCCTAGGAGAAGCTAGGGGCAGGGCAGCGGAAATCTGCAGGCCCATAGCTGATTCCAAAGGGCTTTATGTGAAGGCTGGCAGATGTGGAGAATTTTTTTAATCTTCTGAAGATGAGAGAACCCGGGTAGAAGTGTGGGTTTATGAACAAATATTTATTGCTTCAGGGTCCAGGTAAATTCAGGGTATATGCTATAAAAACACAAATGAAAAATATAGTCTGTGACTTTTTTAAAAAAAGTTGGGAGAGCTCATTAGGATTTATTATAGGTCCCAAATTTTGTAGTCCCTAAGCTTAACGACAGATGGTGGTGTAACTCCACCAATTTCACAATATCTCCATTCAGTCTGATGTAACATAGATTACCCTTGATTTGACTTCGGTGAAATTAGAATTTTCTCTTTTCCCTAAATGTGTCAGGGAGGAGAATGGGGAAAAGTCGTCTAAAAGGAGTCTGCTTATTTGCTCATCTTCAGAAAACTGTAGTGGATGTGAAAACACAGGAAACTGATATGTGACTGTTTTTTCTGTGTGAAAGGAAAAATACCTTGCATTTAAGACTTTAGTTACAGGCTATTTGAAGTGAGTAGCACAATTTTGAAGATGTTATTTATAACAGGAAAAAATAGTAATTTAAAAACACCCCCTTTCCTTTCTCCCAGCGATTTCTCCAAGTCAGTTGAAATTTAAGTACAAGTCACAATTACAGAGATAAAACGGCTCTGAAAGAGAAAAATGTAGTTGTTGTTTGAAAGTGTTGGAAAAAACAGACTTAAGTGTGTGAAAAATTATATTTTTATAAAAAATAACTGAAAATCAAAGAGGTTCACTGGGAGAAGCAGTAAACTAACATTTCTAATTTGTCATTCGCGTGCGTCGCTTTCCTTCATCTTGGCTATACTTCCTCTCATCTGCGGTGTTTTATTTCGCGCAAGATGCGCTGACAGAGGCCATTTCAAACGAATTTATCTTTCACTAGGACCGTACTAGAGCAGTGTCTCGAATTTTGTTGATTTGTGGTTTCGTCGTAAAATAAACTTGAAATCAAATAAACTTTCGTGAGGAAGCTTTGATGTCCACTTGGTGAAACTCCTCATTCACCCAGTTGAGCCGTTGAACTTTCTTCTGGAACCTCTTTAAATGACTTTTGCCGATCCACGTGCTGCAAAGAAGACCTGAACCGTGCCTATGACCCTGCGCGGCGACTACAGGGACAGAATTTGGCTTTCCTTCTCTTTCCAATATGCAGCGTTTCGTTTAAAGGCTGCCTCGATCCAGTGGGCTGACCAGTGACTTGTGCAAAAGAAAACTATTCGATCGCTGTTTGCCCTTTCAGCGTTTTCCTCGGCTGCGGAAACCCGGTTTTCCTATTATTATACTTCAACTTTTTTTGGAGTCAGCTAGCACAGAGCGCTAAACCCCGGCCAGTTCCAGCAGCAGCCGAGGCGAACAAAGCCTGCAGTGTTCGGGGCCATGCTGGGGCGGGAGTGGTGGACGAGTTCAAGGAATTGCAAATAAATATATTTTATGACCACCCATCAACAAACTACGTGCCACCGTGGCGGCCCCTGGTAGCCGGGCCGTGTCTGCAGTGTGGCCAGGGGCGGGGGCTGAAAAGGAGGCGGCCGGAGAGGCGAAGCGAGCTGCGAGCCCCGGGCCTGAACTTTCACCTCTCGAACCCGGGCCCAGCCCATTGGCTGCAGCCGAGGGGTCCACCGAGGGCAGCGGCTCCTGACAGGACCTGTTTTCCCAACTCCCTGGACAGCTTCCCTGCGGGATGGGTTGGTGGCCCGGGGCATGGCAGCAGGCGAGGAGGAGATAATGGGGGCGAAGTTGAGCGGGGGCACTTGGGAGCTGCGGGCTCAGTTTCACTGAGAAAAAGGCCCCGGAAGGGTACGCGTCCACTCTATAAATATATACTCCTCCGACTGAGATGTCCTTTCGCACCTCTTGGCTATCTGTACTCTCCAGAAAGGAACGTTAGAGGCTGCGAATTTCACCAAAACGTTTCTTTGTGTACAGAAAAGTGAAAGGCTAACTAAACTCGTTCCTCTCCAAGTCTTGAGACCCTAACCCTCCTTCTCCTCGTTGGGAACTTGATCTTCCAAGTGGCCCTAGCTCTTTTACAATAAACCTTTCCCGCTCACTTACTCGGTACACCTGGAGAGAAAAGGGAAGTCAGTGGGGTCGATGTACGCGGGGGAAGAAGAAGAAAAAGAAGTGAGAAGCTGTCCACCTTTTGATTGTTCTATTCCCTTCATTTATAACCCCCCTGGAAAGGTACATCCCCAGTTTTCCAAGGATTTCCACGTCGTTTACTCTTCTTTTTTCCAAAATAGTTTCAAGTTTATTCAGAATCCGTTTTTATTGAGGTTTCCTAGTGAAGCATAAACGCAGATTACTTAACATAAAATTATCCCCACCTTTCAAAAGGGCGAGGTAGGGCCATTTGGGGCTGGCGTTTTCTAATGATAATGACTGTTCCTCCTTCTGTCTCTGCTCCCACTTTTAAAAGATTCGGATTATTTGTCCACTGTTCAGCCTGCATTTCAAAATAGACGATTTAAAAAAGAGTGAGAACACAGTCTGTAGGCACAGCACTTGAGGACTGCCGGAGTTGAAAAGCTCAGGGAAAGAACCGCAATTCAAAGTCCAACTCTACCTCGTTCCTCTTCCTCCTGGCAGGGGCCATCTTCCCAGGGCCAGCCCCATGGCTTTTTGACTTAATTGGTTTCACTAAAAAAACCCTGACGGTGTGTTTACCGACGTGGGTGCCAGGGCTGCTTCCTCCCTGGGAGAGCCGCGGGTTCTGAAGGAAAGGGTTGGTGCCAAGTGTGTGTGTGAGCTCGCGACTGCCCTTTAGAGAAAGGGCGCGCTGCTCTTTCAGGAAAGGAAAGATTCAAAGGCACAAGTTAGTGCGGTTCGCCCGTCTCCCCAACCACCACCACCCCTCCCTCTTCTGCCACCGGAGGGGTTCAAGTTGGCCGTTCTTTCCCCAGGGAGGAGGGCCGGGAAGCAGCCGGGGGCCAGGCTCTGTTCACCACGGCCTATTGGCCGCAGCTATTTGGAGGAAAGTTTCAGCGCCTCTCGGAACGCCACGCTTTGCGACTGACTTGCGAGCAAAGCAGCGGGCTCAGTCTGCGGCGCGCGGAAAAGGCGGCCGGCGAAGAGTCGCCCGGCCCGCGGGCAGGGGAGGGACCGGAGGGAGACGGCGGGGAGGGAGCGCTGGCCCCCCTCTGGGCTGGGGCTCCGGAGGAAGCCCCTCGCCAAGATTCCGGTCGTGCGTCCCCTCCGGGGCCCGCTCTCTCCTCCCTCGGCCTTTCCCCTGTCACCGCCCTGGGTCCCAAGCAGGCCGCCCAGCCGGGTCACACCCGGTGGATAGAAGCCGGGACCCAGGGCTGGCGGCTGGGCCCGTGCATCCCCCACGCGGGCGCCTCGGCTTTGAAGTGCGCGCGGAGCAGGCTCTGACCGTTTCTTCTTTCCTTTCTTTCCGGTTACTTTTGCTCCCCTCAGTCACTGATAGGACCCTTCCCGAAAACCTCAGACTCTCTAAGTCCCAGCTTGGCGGCCCCTTCCTTCCAAGCCGCGCCCCGGTGACCTGGGCTGCGCGACCACGAGGAAGCCCGAGAACTCCTTGGCCCAAGTGAGACAGGAACCAGGGCAACAATGAAGAGAAAGACACTCGGCCTCTCTCCACCCCAGGCCGCAGAGGCGCACACCGTGAAAAGAAAGGCCAATCAGCGCTTTAACGCACGCTCGGGTCTCCCTTTCCGACTACCATGTACTTTTAACTCCCTGCCACCGAGGGCTTTGGATCCCTTCGAGGCTTTCTGCACTTCAAGTGGAATCCCCTGTTTCATTTGCCAGCAGCTCCGTCTGCTGAGAGGACGTACTTTGGGGACTGCCAAGAAGCAGCAGACACAACTCGGCTTTGCCAATACAGCATACGGTTTTGTTCTCGCCTCCCTCCCCACCCCCTTCCCTGACTCGCCGTCTGGGGCGAGCTGGAGAAGGCGGAGCAGGAGGTGGGGAGAAGGGTGGGGGTGGGGGAAGGTCTGGCGTAGCACAAACAAGTTCTCCAGCGGGTTGTTTACATAGCAGGTGGACCTGACGTCAGCCAGGAGGCTCCGCTGCAAATCCGAACAATATTCTTCCCCGCGTTTCCCCCTCCTTAAAGAAGTTAGGGAACGGGGGGAGATAGGTGGACGGGGGAGAAAGGCATCCTAACCAGCTGGTTCCAAACCTATCAACAACAACAACGACAATAACAACGCAAAGTAAAACAAAACAAACAAGTGGTCCGGCGGTACTTCAGAATCCTCTGCGGCGTCCTGTCCCCCACCCCGCCCCTCCGAGGAGAGGCAGCCCCGCGAGCAGTGTGTGTACAGTTCGCATTGCCAACAACACGCGCGCGCGGCCGGGTGCGCGCGCCTGCCAGCGCACATTCACACACACAGACACACAGACACACACACACACACACACACACACACAGATCCGGGTGGGGGGAGCGGCTGCGCGAGACAGCGCGAGCCTCCGAGAAAGCGCGAGACACGCCGGCGCGTGCAGCTCCGCGGCCGCCGCTTCGCCCTAGCTCTAGCCCCGCGCCACCCGCAGCCCGCCCGCGAACGCCCGCCCCGGTTATTTATGCGGCGGCCGCGTCCGCTGGCTGCGGCTTCCTCGGCCCCCCCCCTCCCCGGGCGCGCCCCCCACTCGCGGCAGCAGCTGCCCGGACTCGCGCGTGGGTGTGTTGTTTGGGGGCTTCTGCCTCGCCGCCGCGGGTGCCACCTCCCGGGACGCTGCCCACGGCGTCCCCGGTCGCGGTAAGTTTCTTGGCCCTCACTCTGGCGCGCTACACCTCCGCACCCCACCCTGTCCCAGCCACCTCCACGCTGGGCCGAGCTGCGACTTTACTCTGCTCCGCGCTCCTCCCGCGGTGGCGACAAAGTTTCGCCCCAAAGGCAGCGCCCTGCTTGCCGGGGCGAGTGTGACATGTGTCAAATTTGGGCTCGGCGTTGGGGTCGCATTCCGGACCCAGCATCACCACTTGTTGTTCTCTTTCATTTTGCTTTGTGATGGGGGAAAAAGGGGTGGAGAGGGGAGATTTGCTGTTGGCTCACGGATGATTTTTAGTTTGGATAATGCAAAATGTTGCTTCGTCCGGAGAGACCTCGGCTGGAGGAGAATGTGTGTCGAAACACCAGATGTGTGTTTGTTTACTCTCTTCTTTTTAATTGTTTGTTGTCTTTTCCCCTTCCTCCCCGCACCCCCACCCCCAACCTCGGGAGGAGAAACAACAGTAAAAACATCTGGCGGTTAGAAGCACACACTTTATTGATCCAACTGCTGACCTTTATTTACTCAGTTGGGCAAGTGCACGCTTCTCGCGTCTAAGTTGGGCACTTCAGCGTTCATCTCAGAAGTACTTCTCCAGGAAGGAGAGAGATGGAAAGGGGACACTCCTGTTTCTGGAGTCAAGAAACTCCTGGGCCCTACTGACGCTTCGGGATAACCGTGCACAGGGATGACTGCTGCCTTGATCGCGTTCCTTTCCCTGTCCACGCGTTAGCACGACCGGCTTCCCCCGGTGTCTGGCCTGGTTTTACTTTTATTCCGCTTTAGAGAGGTCGCCTGGCTGTTTGTGGGTGGGTTTGGGGTGAAATCGCACCTCGCGGCACTTGGTGAGGGGACGTGGGAGGAGCGCAGACACCTTTCGGTGATAGGGAGGGCTTCTCACTTGGCTGTTACCTGGAAGTCCACAGTGGCCCCGGCGGGCAGGCGGGCGGGCAGAGCGCGGGTCCGAACGCCCTTCGCGCTCGCGGCGGCGCACGTGCGGCGGCGGCGGCGGCGCCGGCGGCGCGGGCGGGACCCACTGGGTGGCCGCGCGCGCCACCCGCGCGTTTTCTGCGCGCCTCTGCCCACCCGCGAGGCCGCAACGCGCCCTGACACCCGACCTCAGTGTGGACCCTCACTTGCTGTGGGTGTTGGGGCCTCTCTAGAGCAGGGAGGAAAAGTTACCCTCACTATTCTCAGACTCTGGAATCTCTTAGGTAAGTCTCTTAGGGCACCTGGCGCATGGGGTGACGCTTTGATTAGAAGGAACGTGAGGGGAAGAACGGGTGCAAGTCTGGGGATTGGAAAGCGGAGCCAGTGCGCGTTTTGCACAGGGATGAGTCAAGAGAGGTCGACCTGGCCACCGCTTGGGACGCTCCGCAGAATCCGGAATCCCCAAAGACCTAGACCCATGTGTGTATTTGTTTATTCAGCTTTTTAACCAACAGATTTAAACCACTTAATAGCTGCTATCTGTAAGGCTCCTGTTCCCCCCATCTAACCCCCCCTCCACACACATACACACTTTTTTTTTTCCCCACCACATATTAAAATCCAGTAAGTTTCTTGATCTTGAGGATTATTCCTGGAGTACTCTTCGCTCCCTGGTGGGCAGGCTTTGGCCATGCAAGGTGCGCTAGGTGGCCTGGGTGAGTTCTCAGAGGAGGATGGAGGGGGAAAGGGTACGAAGGACCTGTGGGAGTGTGTAAGGTGTGTGCATATGTAGTCATCGTGGATCAGGAGTGCTTAAAGAGCTACCTCCCAACATGTCCAGAGTCTACTTGGAAGAATACTTAAGTAGTAGCAGGTAAGCCCAAGGGAGAAAGTGACGCCCTGTTGTCAAGCAGCTGAAGTGGACGTTTTCCAACTGGAAGTACTGGGAGAGATTTACTTTTAGAAAACAAAAGTTTGCCTGTAAGGCATATCTTTGCAGGCTCTCCTAACTCAAATAGTTTGTTTAGTCAGCAGCAGAGGCAAGAGAGATGTGTTTAATAGCAAGTCTGTGTTAGAGGTCAAAACTGAAGTAAAGATGAGCTTTCAGTTATTTTCATCTTCAAGTTTGCATTGTGGCATACCTTGGGAAATGTTTTATGTTGTCAAGGGGACTGTTTATCTTTTCTGTCACTATGAGTTATGGATCAGTATATTCCCAGTGTACTGGAATTTTTAAATGTAGTGTTTGTTTAATGTTGTTAAACACAATTAATTTACAATTTTGATTTATTTGTATCTATATTAAAAGAGTGGGTATAAAATTATATAAACTGTGATCGTTAGGGTCATACAATTTCATATCAGTTTTAGAGCTTTTTTAACTTACAATTTTGATTTATTTGTATCTATATTAAAAGAGTGGGTATAAAATTCTGTACACTGTGATCATTAGGGCCAAACAATTTCATATCAGCTTTAGAGCTTTTTAAAGGCCCCTTTTCTCTTGCCTGCTTAACTTCTTTCCTTTTATTTTTATTGCCTAACTAGACTCATATTCAGTCGTCAGTCTAGTTAAATGCTTCCTTACGACACACACTATTTCATTGTTATCTAAAATTAAGTGAAATAAATGTTTAATTATGATTAAATATACTAACTTTGAAAGAGGAGACTAGAAACCTGATGAAACATCCCTGTAGGTGAGAAATGACACTCAATTTAAAAAGATCATCTAAAAGTTCACTTTTAAGTACAAAAAAGAATGTTAGGATTTTTAAGGGAATAATTTTTAATTCAACTTAAATATAAGTACAATGAATACTTTATAGTTAGGTTGTTAAAATGTTACCACTACCGTGTATATTAGAATAAATACAGCAATAAAAGGAAACATAGACATATATTAATTATGAACTATTTATAATGTTAGGAATTGCCTGACTCATATTTTGGGATATTGTTTTTATATAATTTATACTCGGGTGGAAATAGGCCCTTAATTACATTATGATATGAAGAGATTTATGAAATGGTTGTACCTGAATAAGCTGTACTTGGAGTTTCATTTCTTTGCACTTCTTATATTGCAGTGGCTTTGCTTAAAAAAAAAATAAGATAAACCTTTGTAATTTTCTAGAAACCTAAAATAGGGAGGAAATAGTTGTATGTGGCACACCATAAAAGTAGAAAAAGGTGAACATTATATGTACAGGTAATCTGTAATGAGAAGTTATATTTCCTTTGTACAAACAAAATTTCAAACACACAAAACAAGTCTCTTTGCATAGATATTAGAATTATACTTCATGAAAAGTATATTGAAGTATGTGAAAATAACTGCATGGTTTGATTAAGATTCATAGAGCATGTAACAGTATAGTGAATGTAGCCAGAGAAATTATTTACCATTTTTATTTCAACAGAAGATGTGAAGGATATAAAACTTATTTACATAAAAGGGATTTTATTTGTGACGTTTTTGGATTTCTATCTGGGTCAGCCTCATCACCCTTGTTTGTTTTTGTGTCATGTTAAATCAGCTATTAGTTATAATACTGATAGAAAACAAAATGATGAACGTCATGTATTTTCTGCCTCTCTGAATTAAATTGGAAAGAGGCCATTAACTTGTAAGAAGAGAATGAGATTGAGCACACAGGTCTCTAAGAAGTTTTCTCAACATGATTGTTAATAGACAAAATTGTAAGTCAGTTGAATTCAGAAATAGTGTCAATTTTATTACAATTGCTGAATATTAATTTTTGGCACATTCAAGCTATTTTTTTCTTGAATTTTGTGATAAATAGTAGTTGTCTTATTCATAAATGAATGGACCCAAAATGTTCTAACCAGTGCCCAAATTCATACTACTCTTTGATAAAAGAAAGCCTGTATCTTAAAATTGGCCTAATGAGAGTTTAATATTAGCACTGATTTCAAAAACAACTTTATTTATGTAGCCCTTAATTCATAGAGTTCAAATAAATCCAACCCAGAAAGATTCCTCTTTATATTCTTAAAGCTTCTGTAAAGGTAATCCCTGTGCTTGAAACTTTAAAAAAAACATATTCCAGTGCTCATGGTCTGCAAATATTCTAATGCCTAATTCAAATTTTAAATGTTGTAGTTTAGTTTTATTCCTTCCTTAGGTGAAATAAACATTTTCTTAGGTTCAACTATGTATCTCTTAGTGTACTTGGACTAAAGTCCTATCAATTCTATAGTCTTTATTAAGTACAATTATTTACATTCTTGGAACTTTTTTTTTTTCATGAGGCTTAGGTCATTTTCATTGCTTTCTTATGGAGGTATTCTAGACTTTTAGCTTCCTCATTTGATTTTCAGAACTTCAAAGTGGGCCCTGTAACATATTTAACAGCTAAGCATAGTTAGAAGGGTTGTCTAAAAATGCCATCACTTTTTTTTAGCCCAGCTTTGGTTATGTGAAAATTTATTATTATTGAATAACAGAAATACTAATATTGTAGGATACTCTTCCCTATAGAATATTGTTTTCTTGCAGATATTCTTTCCTGTAAAATAAATGGGTACTTCCACTTGCTTACTTCCCTCTAAGTATTTTTTATATACTATTTTGCTCTGCTCTGTGTATTTATCCATTCCTGCCCTAAATTTCCCAGACAAAACAAACAAACAAAAAAGTGCCTAGCTGTGGTGAAGCATAAAGAAATAGTATGACCTAATGAAGAGGTTAGTGGTAGAATATTGAGAAGCTGGAGAGAGTTTTTAGAGAAGATTTAGATTTCTTACGTTGCAACACTTTTAGTATTAAAATTATAAAGTAAATTTAAGGGTATACAGTGATATATTTTCAGTAGTAATATTCATGAAAGCTAGTTTTTCTTTAAATAGTTGCCTTGGCGATTTGCTGTTTCCTCAAATGTGATATTAAGTATTGGCCTAATTATTTTTAGGAGTATAATCTCAATTTTATAATTGGAGTGATTAGGAATTTGTATTTATCTATACAGATATTTGCCTACCAGCCAACTTAACAGAGTATATCTGTGCTCTAAAAGTACACTGACATCACCTCAATTTCATCTTTAATACATTATATTTTAATGATTTACAGCTGGATTCACTTTTACTGTTTCATGTTGTAATTGTGAACTTTGTTTACTCTCTCTAAATTGACTTGTATTTTTGTTCATTCTTCCAGTTTGCCAAGTACAATTTGAATGGTTAAATTTACTCAATTTAACTAAATCTATCTAAACTTTTTTAAAAAATACATTTTCTCCGTAAATCATCTATGGGGTTTAGGTTCAACCTTTTGCATTTTTTGATTATTGAAATACACATTCTTGGACCTGTACTCAACTACTGCTTGAATTCAGCTTTGAGGTTGGTTGTACCCTTCTCTCTTCCTACTATCTGCCAAGTATATCTAGAACATACCTTCCCATTATATTGATAAGTATAATATGTTATACAGAACTGATTCTTCATTTTTTTTCTGCTGTGGCAAATTATTTTCGTTAACAAGAGTGAATACAGTTTAAATGTTGAAAAGCACATTGCTGTGAAGAAAATGAATTCCCAGTGGTTTAAGAGATCTCAGCATTTTTTTAGTTTATTAATGTTCTTCAATTTGCTTTAATTTCTGTCATGAAAGACTTAAAATGTACGTTGTGTTGTTAATGTTGATTTAAAATTTATTTAAGTTTTTAGTGTTTCCTCTTGAAGATTTTTCTAATGGAAGTCTATAAGATTATACCATTAGAATGTCTTAAAGATTTTTTTTTCTTTTTTAGCAGATTAAGGAAATTAACTTTGAATTCCCCAAAGAAAGAATGCTACTAGAAATATCTTAAAGATTTTCTGGTATTTAATTTTATGTTTATTTGATGGCATTCTCTGTGAAAGTTTTCTTTATTATTTTAGCTTTGTATCATTTTAGTATACACACCCAACGATAGCCATCATTTTGCAACTTTTTCTCAACCTTAAAAAAAAAAACTTTCTTAAAATGTATTTTAGGGGTAGGAAAAAATCAGTGGTAGACATATTTTGGAGAAAGCACTTATAAAATTTCTCACTGGCAGATAGTGAGGAAAAACTTACAGTACACTAATCCAAATATCTTACCATCTTAACATATGTAGACTGTCATAAAATCATCTCATTTTTTTTTAAAAAAAGATCCCCAACATCTTTAAGAACCATTCCTCACTATTACCTCACCCAAATTTATGTTCCAGGATTTGGTTGATCTATGTCTGTATGCCTGTAGCTAACTCTTCACTTCCTTTTTGTTTTCAATTTTTTTCCTTATGGAGTCTACCTTTAGTTTAGCTAAATGGCAACAAAAAATGATCTTGTTCTATACATATAGTTTGTACAGCCACTGCTACCAATCTGGCCAGATACACCATCATCTCCTACTTGAACTGTGGCAATAACTACTTAGTTGATCCTGCTTCTTCTCCCTCCAGGCACCGCAGTTTATTCTCCACACAGCAGAGTGATCTTTTGAAAATATGTCTGTGTTCCTCTTGTATAAGCCTTCCAAAAGCTTCTTATGTCTCTCAGAATAAAATAGATGTTACATAAGGTCTTGTTGTTTTTTCTCTCATTTGGCCTACTGTGGACATATAAACCTCCTTGATATTCCTAAAAGCAAGATAAGCTGACTCCTACTCCAGAGCTTTTCTCTGGAATGATCTATCCTCCTGTATCTTCACTAACTTCAGGAGGTCTCTGCTCAAACATATCCTTGTTAGAGAAGCCTTCTCTAACTGTCCAATATAAAGTAACAAATCCTCATGGATCACTCTACCTTTACCATATTTTATTTTTCTTTATGGTACTATCATTAACTGACATTTAGAAAACATGTTTATTTAACATCTTTTCCCCCAGTGGCATGTAGGTTCCATGGAGCCAGGGATTTTGTTTTGCTTTGGTTTAACTCAATACTTAGAACAGTGCCTGGCACTTGGGAAGAGCCCCATAAGTAAATGTCGAATGAAGGAATGAATGTTTCATAGGAGGCCAAAGAAGTTACTTCCATCTATATCATTGCATAACTTGCTTTGAAATTACTTTTTACTTTTTTTTTTTTATCCTACACCCATTTTATATCATATCACATTGGGAAACACTGTTCGTTACTGGCA
Organism: Homo sapiens; assembly: GCF_000001405.40. Classification (NCBI taxonomy): domain Eukaryota; kingdom Metazoa; phylum Chordata; class Mammalia; order Primates; family Hominidae; genus Homo; species Homo sapiens. The sequence continues at coordinate 114,093,698 of NC_000007.14, forward strand.
AAGTCATGGCCCTCGTCTCAGGTGAGTATACTTCAAGTTCCATTTTCTATATCCCATTTAAATATAGATTTTAAAATCTATATTTTAAATTATTGATCTGAGAAACAACATAACACTTAAATTTTGAAAGTTGTGAGTGAATATTTGTGGTTTTGGACAACAAACTTTTAGTAGTTCAGTGCTCTAATATAATAATATTTACCGAAAGTTAAACTGATGGATTTGATCATAACATTCATCATTATACCTTAACATGAATAGAATTAAGTGTATGTAAATATTTCTAATGGGTAAACTATGAATACAGCAAGGACAAGCCAAGTATTTCTGTTATTTTTTATGGGGAAAGATGGAGGGAAATGGGTCAAATCAGGATCTCTTCTGGGATTTATAACCACATTTAGATGACTTTACTTCTTTGCATTGGAAAACATACTGTAAGTTTACAAATTCTGTTTTCTTTCCTTTTTTCAGTATATATACTTAAACAGACCAGATTAAAGATTTGTGATTTGATGAAAACTCCAAGTCTTTAAAGTTAAAATCCCACTGTTTAGCTTGCTCAAATTGCTTTTGAATACGAAGTCATGAATAAGTGATACAGCCCTCCATATAACACCACACTAATACACAAATATTTTCATATAAGCATAATGCCCTACAGATCTCCCTCTCACATACTTTGTTCATATTTAAAATTGCACTAACTTGCTCAGAAATTTTATTCTAAACGTCTTGAGAATATGAAAAGGAGGCTATAATATTTTCTGTTGATAATGAAGGAGAATGTCTCCCTTCTTAGCCTACTTCCTTTCTTCCTTTCATTTTTCTCTTTCCTTTTTCCCCTCCACAGACTGAAAATAATTCTGACATACCATTAGTGATATGTGGCCCTTGGGAAACTGAAGCCAGGCAAAGTGGGTTTTATACATAATTACCCCTCTTTTCCTCTTTTAAAAAATTATTTTTACTTTTTTCTTTTGAGACAGAGTCTCGCTCTATTGACCAGGCTGGAGTGCAGTGCTGTGATCACAGCTCATGGTAACCTCGCCCTCCTGGGCTCAAGTGATCCTCTCCCCTCAGCCTCTGCAGTAGCTGGGACCACAGGCACACCATCAAGCCTCACTAAATTTTTAAAATTTTATAAAGATGAGGTCTCGCTATGTTGTCCAGGTTGGGAAAAAAAACCCACAAAACTATTAACTCACACCTACTCCCATTCCCTTGCCCCTTAAATGCCCAGTGTCCTCCATGTTGTGACCTGGCTATTCCAAATCTCAGTGAACTCTCCTTTCCTTGTTGCGAGTAGGAAATTTTACATTAAAGGACATGTATGATGATAATAATGCATATAAGACTGAGAATGAAGATGAATAGTTGTGAAAAGTATCTAGTTATTATCCCACATCGTTAAATAGCCAGCATGGTTTACTATAAAGAGTAATCCATGTTGAGTGCTGGGAGACTTGCATTCTGGTACTATACCTGTCTATAACTATTGCATGATATTGGGTGAGTCATTTCCTCCAAAAGATACTACAGTAGCTTTTAAATTACTTCCAATTAAAACATTTTAAGAAATGCATGGAATCAAATCTAAAGCTATTTGTATAACATGTTTTCTTCCTGATACCCCATGAACATACACTGAAGAATGAGAGAAGATATTTCCTAAAATAAAAACTATTTAAACAAAGAAAAATGACCACAGTCACTTTGCTAGTGAAGCTCAAAGGGCTGAGTTAAATTTTTAAAGGGTTTTTTTTTTTCAGCTGTCTTATCCTAATAGGTATCTTAAGATCATTCCCCTCCTTCCCAGTCAGAAATGGACCCTCCCCTTATTTAGACATAATGGTAAGACAATGAGAGAAGGTAGAGTGCATGTGGAGTTGATCACATTAGGATTAAGAAACATAAATATCCACCTGGCATTCTTTTCCCTGACGCTTCTATCATTACCATCCATAAATACTAATTTATTCACAATGTTGTGTTGGTCCTGTGCTCATTTATATATTTAGCTGTTGGTGGCACCAGTCGAGAAATCAAGTGGGGAGTGGATAAGCTGTTTGATAAACTTCGTCTTTTTAAAATTAGAGCTCTCCTTTTTAATGGACTTTACATGCACAGACATACATTATCCAGTCTATGCATTGTGCTACATTAGAAGGAAACACAACTCCAACTGTGGGAATACTACATATCTTTGCTGTAGTTTGGCTTAATGGGAAGGGCACAGGGGTTTTATACAGTGCACCACATAAGAAGTTTTGACCTAAATCTCTTGAGACATCTTTCTTCTTCCCTTTGGGTCTGCCAAAAAGTATATTTAGAGCTTCATCTAGGTTGTTTTTTCCCTACTTTGCTTTCCCAGTCCCCATCACGTGACATATACATCATGCAACATATACATACTTCATGAAGTGTGCGAAGGCGACTTTCTTTGTCACCATCAGCTCACTATGCAGATTCAGCACAACCAAGGAAAGCCGGGGATAATAATTATGGTAGTTTTTAGCAGTGATGTAAGCTTTCAAATACTCATACATTTCAATACATTTTACATTGTTAAATGTTACAAAGAATGTTTATTCCTATGACTAAAAATGAAATTAACTCAACAGTCTGACTTTGTTATCCCAAATAAAATGGTTTTAAAACGTTATTGTCTTGATCAGTTTATAATATTCCTTTACTTCCAGAAAAGTATGCCTTTAAGTTGCCCTTTTATCCCTTCTAACTTTGCTTCTTTGTAATTTTCAATAACGTCAAGCCATCCCTAATCGTACGTGTCCGATGTTCAAAATATTCTACACACAGTAAAACGACAGTGCAATTTATTTCTAATTGGTATTAGATTTTTACATCTTTTCTCTTTGATATCTTCCTAATTGTGTCCTGAAAACATCTCATTCCCATTGGGCTGAAATGATGCAGAATTCTAAAATACGAATAAGTATATGCACATGCTTATTCATATTATATTAAAGGAACATCATTATTATAAGGTTTGTTATTTTAAAAACAACTCATTTTTCTGGCGATGTAAGAGCAAAGTTTAAGTGCAGTTGCACAGTACTCTAGAATATGGTAATAAAATACAGAATATGTAAGTAATACAAAATTTTAATGTTTATCTTCTTATTCCTAGAATTACATTTCTTATGGGAGGATATTTTAAAAATAGAATGTGAATGAGTAGTTTTATGTTTACATGTTAACTATTCATGAAACAGTGGAAATGCTAATTATAAAAAGCAAGTTGTTTATACATTTGACATTTAATTTTAAAATAATACTTTGATTACTTTATTGTAGAAATTATGCTGATAATTTTCTCTCAAAATATTTACTTTTATTATGGTTTATTAATGACACAAGCCATATTTTAATTACTCATCTTTATAATTGTTTTAAGCACTTTCATCATTTTTTAATTAAAGATTATTTCCATATGGTAAAATTCACCACGTTTTAGTGTACAGTTCTTTATTTTTTGACAAACATATAGCTGTGTAATCACTACCACACTTAATATACAGAATAGTTGTATAATCCTTCAGATTTCTTCATAGGGATTTTATTCAACCCTTCCTCCCACCATCTAGTTCCTGGTAACCACTAATCTGTTTTATGTCTCTATAGTTTCGTCTTTTCAAGTCTGTTATGTAAATAGAGTCATAAGGTAGGTAGCTTTTGGAGTCATGCCTGTGTCACTTAGCGTAATGCATTTGAGATTAATTTATATTGTTGTGTATATCATTTTTGCCCTTGCAAGTATATAGTTGCTTTTTCCTTGGAGCTTAGAATCTTCCTCTTATTTTTCATTCAAGTAAGTTTTTATATAGCCTTAAGTTACATTTAGGCTTATTAGCAGGTGCTTGGCTTATAAACAAAATGAGAGATTTTACTGGTTAATACTTTCTAAGAATTTAATCTTGAGGTCTTCACCATAGTTCTCCACCTTCCATTCCCACTTCCACCCCAGCCTCTCTTTTGCTCTCATACTGCCTTTCCTTATTCCCACAGGTGTTTGTTTTTCAAGTCATTTGCACTCCTTGTCATCTATTTGACTGATTGATATAAGACCCAGTCAGATTGCTAGTTCTTACAGAAGAAGCTCATTATCAATTGTTTAATAATGTTCTTTCACTTATTTATTCATTCCTGAATCATTGTGTGTTGATCAATTTCTGTTAATGGCAAAACAAATAATTGAAGAATCCTAGAGTTGAAAGGAAACTTTGAGATCATGAAATAATTTTCTAATCTTCCGCCCAAGTCAGATGAGAGGTAGAGATAGAAGTCTAGGAATCTTTGTCAAGCAGTCTTTGTCAAATTGCCTATGGGACATAGAGCATGAAAAGTGGGGATAACAAGAGAGGTAAATAAAATATATAGACAGGCTGCCAAGAACAAATTGTTAGTTTGAAAATGCTAAGCTGAAATGTAACAGAAACCGGGGAGACGATAAGCCTGGAGAAATTGGCCAGGGGTTTGTTTTTTTAGGGACAGTTGTGCACAGTGTAAAGACATATGAACATGAAGGAGGGAATCCTCATTACCTTAGCTCTGGCTGATGACTTTCAAAAACCATAGATGGAGGCATCACATTTCCTGATTTAAAATTATATTACAAAGCTGTGGTAATCAAAACAGTATAGTACTGGCCTAAAATCAGACACATAGACCAGTGGAACAGAATAGAGAGCCTGGAAATAAATCCAAATGGTCAACTAATTTTTGGAAAGGACACCAAGAGGACACAATGGGGAAAGTATAATCTCTTCAATAAACGGTGCTGGGAAAACTGGATTTCTGCATGCAAAAGAATGAAATTGGACCCTTATCTTACACCAGATACAAAAGTCAATTCAAAATGGATAAAAGACCTACATGTAGGACTAGAAATTATAAAACTCCTAGAAGAGAACATAGGAGAAAGACTATTGGCCTTGGCAATGATTTTTTTTGGAAGTCACACCAAAAGCTCAGGCTACAAAAACGAAAATAAATAAATGGGACAACTAAAAAGCTTTTCCACAGCAAAGGCATCAGTTAAAGTGAAATGGCAGTCTACAGACTGGGAAAAATATTTGCAAATTTTATCTCTGGTAAAAGGTTAATATCCAAAATTTTAAAAGAACTCATATAACTAGGCCAGGCACAGTGGCTCATGCCTGTAATCCCTGCACTTTGGGAGGCCAAGGCAGGTGGAATGCTTGATCCCAGGAGTGGGATCACATGGGCAACATGGTGAAACCATGTCTCTAGAAAAACTGCAAAAATTAGCCGGGCATGGTGGCTTGTGCCTGTGATCCCAGCTACTCAGGAGGCTGGGGTGGGAGGATCGCTTAAGCCCAGGAGGTTGAGGCTGCAGTGAACTGTGATTAGCCCACTGCACTCCACCATGGGCGACAGAGCATGACCCTGTCTCAACAAACAAACAAACAAACAGAAAAAAAGCACTCATACAACTCAACAGTAGAGAAACAATCAGATTAAAAAATAACAAGACCCGAATAGACATTTCTCCAAAGAAGACAAAGAAATGGCCAACAGGTATATGAAAAGGTGCCCAACATGATAAATTATCAGGGAAATGCAAATCAGAACCACTGTGAGGTATCATCTCACACCTGTTAGTATGGCTACTATCAAAAAGTCAAAAGATAACAAATGTCGTGCTTCTGTGCAGAAAAGGCACCTCTTGTCCGCTTTGGTGTGAATGTAGATTGGTATGCCCATTATGGAAAACAGTATGGAGGTTTCAAAGAAAATTAAAGATAGAACTATCATATGACCCACAAATCCCTCTTCTAGGCATATACCCAAAGGAAATGAGATCACCCCATAAAGATATCTGTACTCACATGCTCATTACAGTATTATTCACAGTAGCCAAGATATGGAAATAAGTGTTCATCAACAGATGAATGGATAAAGAAACTGTGGTATATTCAGTTTTCCTTTGGTTTCTGCGGAGCATTGGTTCCAGGACCTCCCTTGGACACCAGAATCCAAGGATGCTCAAGTCTCTGATATAAAATGGTATAGTGTTTGTGGGAATGGGGCTTGGGGAGGAAATGGGGACATGTAGGCCAAAGGATACAAAGTCACAGATACGTAGGATGAATAAGTCTAAAGATCTAATATACAACATGAGGGTTTTGGGTAATAAAATTGGGATTCATTTAACTGAAGATTTTAGCTGGTCCTGCCAGCAAATCAAAATTGATGACTACTTGAGGTAATCAATATGTTAATTTGCTTCACTATAGTAATCTTTCTACTGTCTATGTATATTCCATAATATCATGTTGTATACTTTAAAAACGCACAATAAAAATTATTTTTTAAAAACCTGCCATGAGTGAAGAACTTGTTTTTGTAATGTCTAATATTTGAAAAAAATTAATTGATACAAAGTTCTTCCTTACAGTGAATTGGAATCAACCATTATTTTTAGCTCTGTGCTTTGTATTTACACAGGATGTTTTACATAGATAACTTTTTAGACATCTGAAAAATTTTCATTTCCTCAGAATTTTTTCTATGCTGAAGAAGTCTTTTCTTCACTTATTCTTTATGTATTAATATTCATGTTTGCTAAAAATCCATATTTGCTGAAGTTTTCCTTTAAAATGTTGTGTCCAGAACTAAATACCGTACTATAAGTGTTGCCTAATATAGAAATATTAAAACTTTATCTCAATTTTTCTCTAACAGATGTGTCACATTGTTAATGAAACTGAAACTCATTTTTTGATAAATTGCAATTTATATACCATCTGAATAATTTATTCTTAAAGTAAGATTTGTATCTCCATTAAATTTTTGTTTTTTAAGTTCAGTTATCCAGCATGTAAAGATTTTGAAGAAATTCTAATTCTTTTATTTATGTTAGCAATTGTGTCATCCATAATTGTGATTAATACATTTCATAGTTTTGCTCAATTATTTTAAAAATATTGAGCAAAACGTGGTTAAGAATAGAGCCTTTTTCATTTCTAGTAAGGGTGTACTCCTTCACTTGTCATTAGTCCTTTGGGTGTGATTGTTTAGCTACTGATATGTATTTGAAATTTTAATGGCTAACATTTATTGAGCAGTTAGCTTAAGCAGGCACTTTTCTAAGCACTTTGTGTGTACAAATTCATTTAATCCTCATAATCTCTTTATAAGAATGTTATTATCCCCATTTTATGAATGGCAAGTCTGAGTCACAGATTGTCAACTGTGAAGGGTCTGAGATTTACTCTATTTGCAAACCAGCAAATTAACCAGCCCATGTTTTGTTGATGCTCAGGAAACACAGGACTCCTGAGTCAGAGACAAGACTGTTACTAATATTATAGCAAGCAGCATGAGTTTCATGTTTGTTTTTGTGCTCTTGTCCCCCAAGTCCCACAGGAACTCTGTAGGGTGGTTTGGGTTGATGTTTCACCTTCAACAAGTTGTGTCACAAATGAGGAACCCCATGTTTAGGAAGCCCAGTCTTTTATGATGAACTGTAAGCAAATTTACTCTTTCTTTCAGAGGGTATTCCAAGGCTGTTTTTTAGACAAAAGATAGTCCAGAACAAAAGCTGCCAGTGCCTCTGCTAACAAGACATGCAGAAACAGGAGAGACCCATGAAAATTTGCCTCTCACCCCAGTTGTTAAGAAATTTGTCCAAAATTACACAAATAGTAAGTTGATTTACTCCAAGTTGGCCATGACAGACTTTCTCCATACTTTTCTTGGTCCAGATATTGTGCAGCTAAGACATTTCTCTGATCTACTTATCTAGTAACAGTGTCAGAAAAGGAAACAAGGTTTGGCATGGATTATTTTTAACATGTCTATGGCAGGTTTTTAGAAAATTTTTAAGTGCTCACAAACCATCTGTTTAATAACCTGCTCTAGAATTTTGTTGGGGAATAGTGTCATGCTCACTGATCTTCATTTTCTAGAATCCTTTTACCTAAAAAAATAAGAGAACATTTGCCCTTCTTATGTATTATGTCTGTTTTCCTCTATTTTGTAACTCTTCCAAGGTTATCAGCTGTGGTTCTGTGATAATATTTACAAGCCTTGAAGCTGTAATCTATTGGTCATGTATACCTGGACTTATTTAAAGTGACTCATTGTCCTCATTAATTTCTGAGCTTTGATTTTTCTTATTAATCATATTTGATTTTCCATTTCGCTTCAACATTTTGTGTGTGTGTGTGTGTGTGTGTGTGTGTGTGTGTGTGTGTCTAGAAGGCAAAAGCAGGATTCAAGTTCTGTTTCATCTCAGTTATCTGATGATAATCATGATCACCAAACAGAAGATCATCCCTTAGTTAATATTTTTTCCATACCTAAATTAGATCTTGAAGTGTCCTTAAATTTTTTGTTTTTTGGTCTATTTTATCTCATTTTGAGCATTTATTAAATATTTGAGCCATGTTTCTATACTGTTTCTTGCCATGTATGTCACTTCTAAGGTTGAAGAATGCTTGTATAACTCTTGTGTTTCTTTGGATATTTTCTAATTTTTTCTTTGGTAGTGTTTTCTGAGTTTGGAGGATCATTATTTTACTTTAGTAATTCATAATTTCAATAGATGAGGTGTCCCAAACCATTATTGATTTTAGAATTTTATGCTGAGCCATCATATATGACAGGAGTTGATGAAATTTTTCTGTAAAGGTCTCTATAGTAAATGATATAGGCTTTGTGGACCATTGATCTCTATTGCACTTTCTCACCGCCATTATACTATAAAAGCAGTTATGGACAATACCTAAATGAATGACTGTGCCTGTGTTCCAGAAAGGTTTATTTATGGACACTTAAACTTAAATTTCCTATAATTTTCATATTTAATGGAATATTCTCTTGATTTTTATTCAACCATTTAAACATGTAAAAAAAAAAAACCCATTCTTACCTCACCATTCAAAATCAGGCAGTGGGCTAGTTTTAACCCATGGACCATATTTTGCTACACACATACAAACACCACACACCACACACACACACACACACACACACACACACACACACCCCAATGGTTATTCATATAAATATAGACATATCTTTTAAATCTCTGTCTCTAAAATCCATGCCACATTTCATTCACTTGCTTGGAATTATGAGCTTAACATTAACATGGACTTCCAAAAATTCTCTCACAAGCTCTTCCTTGAAATAGTTCTTCCCTTTTCATTGCAATTAAGTCTAAAGTAGTAGTTCTCAGAGATAAGAAATTATCAGTAAGTAAATAAGTTGTTCAGTGCTTGACTTTTGGTATCATTAGTATTACAATATAAATTTGGATAATAAAGTACAATGACCAGCTGAATCTTCGGAGATCTAGATAGTGAACCATGAATAACAATTACATAATTTTACCAGAGTTCAGGGCCGAACAAAAATGTGAGAAATGTCTCCAGACAGGTAACAGAGTCATGAAGCTTCAGAAACAGCATTGGCAGCATTAAGTATGAGATAAAGCTTTGTCACAATCCAGAGGTATTTCTGTGTTATTTGTTAAGTCAGGACATGGGTAGCCCATTGGCCCAGGGTGCAATTAGATTAGTGAAGTATCTGACTGGAATGGGACATTGGGAAGCTGATTACACCAGGGCTCTCAAGCAGCCAGATAATGAGGTTTTCTTCTGTGTCTTTGGGTAAAAAGGATCTCCAGCTATATTTATTTACAGTGGCTCTTTAGGTTTTAAAAAATGTATTCTGGTATTTATTTATTTTTTTTAAGATAACTAAAACTAACCTTGCCTAGTCTGTGTAGAGGAATGTTTCTGTTCTTATTTTTGATGTAAACCTTGTAGATTACACAATTTCAGCTGGGGGAAATGGGGGAGATGAACGAAAAGACTGAAAATGAGGATTGGAAAGTTCTTTTCCTTTATGTGTTATGTTCTTTCTTCCTTGCTATGGGCAAATCCACAATACTCAGCTAGCTAATGGATTGTTTAACTACTTCTTTCTTCAGAATATGTATCTCTTTTTGACAGGAGATTTGATTTAGAGGTAACATTTGTTTCCTTTTATATATGAAAGACTTGTAAATTGAACAAAATAATTTCATTTTTTCCCTTGGGAATTGTTATCTATTTTTATCACCATTTTTCAACATCTTAAATAAGGATTTTGTGATTTTTGACTTCCAACTAACCCATAATAGCCATTCCTTCAATCTCCCCCTTTGAATTCATTTTGAATTTTCTTTGACTAAATTCTCTTATGTGAACTCTATTCTTATCATTTTAAGGCTCAGAAGACATTCTTCTATACTATAATACTGAATTTCTTTGTGAAGTAATTTAGTTCAGAATTATATGATTTCTGTATTTCTGAGTGTTTAAGATTTTTGGTTCGTAGGTCTAGGTGGTTGCCATTGTGCTGAATGAAAGTCCTTTTTATGATGGTGTACTTGTTGCTTTACCAAAATTATGGGCAGCATGGCTTTCAGAAGAGAAGTATTTTTAAATAAAGCACTTATTTAAAAATACAGCCTAATCTCTTTTAGAATTAAGACAACAAGAAGTGAAATATTTATGAGTCAGGGCTTGGCTGTATGAGAAAATACAGGCAAGGCTGTGGTTTTGTTACATTACTTACAGTTACTGTGTGACCTAAAAAATGAAAAGTGCAAAAAGACCTAATGCAGTCAGGTATGGGGGCTGTTGAGATATGCATGGCTAATTATCTATTATGGTCTTCCTCAGAGTGAAGTTCTCTTTTTATTTTTAGAAAATGTTAATGGAGGATGAGGAAATACAACTAGAGGTAAAATACTGTTGATAGCATAGGTGATGAAAATTTAAGAAAAATGTAATTGAAAAACTATTGATATGTACATTTTGTAGTCTTTATTTCCTTAAAGAGCTCTATTGTTATTTCTCTTTTTCAGTCATGTTTTCCAACAAGAACACTTAATCATTTTAACTAGTTATTAATTTACATTTCACTATGTGGTAGTAAAAGTTAAAGTAAACTTAGAATGTTTCTTGATGTGGCAGTTGTATTCTCCCTTGCAAAATGCCTAAGTAAATTATGACAAACCAAGCTAAATATAGCATTAGTTGGAGTCACTTTTTATTGTTAGAAAATAAATACATTTATTCAAATAAAGATATCTTATATGTTTTAACATAATAAGATTGTAAAATGTTATCATGATGCTGAGGAAATATCTTGAATATAATTTAAAAATGTGAAAAATTAACTGTGGTAATTTTGCGATTCATAGTAATAATTTAGGGAAAACTGTTAAAATGCCAACTCCCATGGACGTCTGATCTGTATATTCTGGTTTTGAGTTTCTATTACTAATCTAAAAGAAATCAGTAATTTCACATATAGAAAACAAATTATATAAAGGAGGGAATACTCTGAGACTGAGAAGGGAAGACAGGGATTGAGAAAAATGGAGAGAGAAATGATGAGATAGTCGTGGGTTTGTCTAAAGACTGGCACATTTTAGTTTGTACCAGTTTTTGTGTAATTTTTTCTGTGACATTTCAGTTAATTTTTTTAGCCTTTTGTCTCAATATATACATTATTTTAGTGGTTAGTTTAAAATTACACAAAATAAAGTCAGTTTGGGGAATCATCTGAAGAATTTCATTAAGTCTTTTTCAGTCAAACATATTGAAGTCTAGACAGCTTTCCAAAGTTTGTCAGTTGGCTGTTTGGAATTGGGAATACACGTTTTCCATAGAAAAAGAATGTTCTAAAATTAGTTTGTGATAAAAATTGTGTTGTGATACTAGTACTTAAGACAGAAAAAGTAATTTAGTTTATTTATTTTAAATGCTTGTGGTGGTTGATGCTAACTAGTTCATGGACCTCCCAACTAGCCAGATGCAGTTTCTTCTTTTGTAAACTCTCATTTTCCACAGAGAATTTCTTAATCACCTGGCTTCTGAACATTCTTCCTTCAGTTTCCCTTGAGAAATGGGTCATCTCACATTATTCTCTGAGGTGAATTTAGAATCTGAGGTAAAGCTTTGGGTTTGGAGGTGGCCCAGACCTTTGAGCATGAGTTCTAATTTTATAAGATGGCTGACGAGACGATTAAGGCAGATATATCTTCTCTGCAGATAAGAAAATAACAGAAATTATTATACCTAAGGTTATGTGGCTGGTAAATAGCAAAGCCCAGAGTAAGTGAGTCGTCTGCCTCTTCCTGGTCTAGTGCTCTTTCCTCTGTATATTTCACACTACTTCTCATGAATTGAGAATCTGAGTCTTCAGAATGTTTCTTAGATGTTAACTGCCTGGAAAGCAGAAACGATGTCTTCTGTTGCTTCTGTAGTTTTTTGCAGCATTTGTGTCCACACAGTGGAGGCTCAGCAGGAATATTTGTTAATGGAGATGTGGACTTAACTTCATGGAAGGAGGCTTTGGCATCAGACAGATGGAGAGCAAATTCTAGGCGCAGCTACATCCTTGCTGCGTGACCTTGGGCAAGTTCTTTCATCTGTGAACCTAATTTTTATCTCACCTGTAAAATATAGACAAAATAACTATATTGTAGTATTTTTATATGAATTTAAAACCATATTTGTAAACATCCAACATAGTAACTGCCAGGTAGATGCCCTCCCTTTAGTGATAACTAGGGATCTTTTGATTCTCGTTTTTCCTAGCTGCTGTCCCCTCCTTTTTTTTTTTTTCTGTTTTTATTTGTTTGGTGGCATTGTTTTATATGTTTTTCATCTTAAAAACTAAAGTGCCAGGGTTTAGGATGGGCAACTTGTTTTGCTAAAAGAGCATCCTCGTATCTGACCCTATTAATTTTGAGGAGCTGGAAGAAAGGGAAATAGCAATTTACCAGAAGTAGATATATCATGTTCCTCATTTCTTGCCCCCTTTGGTCAGGCAGTTATGTTACAAACAGCTGATCCAGAAACATTCTTTAGAGGAAAATCTGACTTTGTGAATGTGTTTAGATGTCGGATACTGTCTTTATCTGAACCTGTATAACCTTGGAAACCTGAAACCTGAAACTTAAAAATTAATTTTGAATTTTTGTTTGTGGTATTTGCAAGTAGTGTTACAATTGTTTATTCATGAAGTTCTCTGAGGCTATTAGATGTGGCAAAACTAAATGCTACCCCATTTTAAGATTGTCTCAGTTTTATAGAATATTCTTTTTTTAATCAAAAGCCTTAGACCTTATTTATTTGCTTTACGTATGTTTTTAAGTTAATAAACTCATAGTTATAATCAAATCTCATTTTCTGGAGAAATATGTTTTATAAGCAGTTTAATATACAAAATTTAAGAGATCCCTACTTTCTGTGTGTCATTTTGACTCTCTTATTAGTATTCGTCTTGTATTCCAGTAATAGGGTTAGATAAATGATTTCTATGTCATTTGATTTGGTATCTTAGGCAGTTTCTTTTGTAGCAACAGCTGCTCTCCTGTTCTGAGGACCTGTTCCTGGGCCTATAACTAATCTGGGAATTTTACTCTTAAGTTGGCAATGTTTAGGAATTTAGGAAGCCAGTTTTCCTGGTTCTGAAATGGAGTAGCTTTCTGTTTTTATAAACAAGGCTAATTAATTACCAGTTTGTATTGGAACTGAAATCCTCTCCTTTCTGTCTAATGGTCGAGACCATTTTATCCTATGAAGTGAACTTTTCACAGAGTACTGCTGTGGTGCTATAATAATACACTATCTTATATATACTATTGACTACCATTTTACATGTGCACATTGAAGAAATCAGGTTGAAAATACCAAGCTTTTAATTATAGGTGTTAGGCACTAAGGAAGAGCATTTTAAAGATAATTTCACACTCATGTCTCTCCCCTCCCCTTCAGTACTAGGTTGGATAATTTAGTCAAAGAAGCACAGTTCCCTTTCCTATTTGTCTGGAAATAATTATTTACTGAGGAGATATGTGCTCAGTGGAAGAAAGGTTTGGCAAGTGATACATATTCTTTAGCTCGTTGGTGTTGGGAGCATATGTTAGTGATCCTATAATAAAAAGCACATGCTTAAAAAGTGGTTACTGTGTGTGGGTAGTAACTATTTTATGCAGTATTGTGTCATGGGAAGGGCTTCATTTTGATTGGGAATAATGGATGAATTTAAACCAATATACAAGTTTTGTAATCATTGTTTTTTCACGGTCTGGTCCTGCCCTAGAAATATCTACTCATACAATGTGGAATCTTGGGATTCCATTGTACTTACTTAGAGGTCAACTTTAGTAAAATTTTAAAGTCAATATATGGTAAAAAATGAGTGTTAAGTAATGTAAATGTGAATTTAGCTACCATTGAAAGTAAAAATAAAGCCAAACTATTTTGACAAAGTCACATTATTTTGTGATGTAACAAAAGTTAGTTTTGTTCCTAATTAAAAGTTTTTCCCTGCATCTTTATCTTATTTATTATTTAGTTGACTAAAAAGAGTCTAAGTATGAACCAGGTTGACTGTTCAATATAAGTTTAGCACTGTAATGTGTATTTTGAGGACACATCCATTTTTGTTTGTTACCTTCAGTGTTGGTCTTTTTAGAATTAATTGACCTGACCATATAAAGTATTACTTTAATTATAATCTAGACATAAACTTTTATTTCAAGACCAAGCTTGGTATCTGGCACAAACTGTAGTGAAGTTCTGAATGCATATAAATCTTCTTTCCATATTCAGAGGCTGGTTTCCTAAAAGCAGCCATTATGTTTTTAGTAATTTAGGATTTTCTGCTTTTGTTAATACATTTTTTGGTAAGATATAATGATTTCTTCAAAGTTTTAAAACAATTTTTGTATTCAAATCTAATAGACTGATTTTTAAAACTGCCATTAGACCTAATTATTCTTGGAGGATTTTTCTTAGAATTAAGGTGTTTGGGAATGTATTAAAATGGGGATTATTTACATGTATTTTTAAATGTAGAACTTAGAACATAAGTTTAAGATAACCTTTTTACATACACTTTCATTAGCACTATTAGTTTAGCAACATTAAGCAATCATAATAGTTTCCTAGTTTTGCATCATACATTTATCTATTGAGATCATGTTAACATTGTTTTGTTGGTAAATGACAGTTTCTCACAGATCAGCTTTATTCAGAAATTATTTTTGATATGCCTGAAAGCCTATATTAATTTAAAAATGTTTCATTTAATTGCTACATTTAATCTGCTAAATCTAGGTTACATAGAATGATGAACTATATCTAGCAATATTTGTCTGCCCTGTTTTTAGCGGAAAAAAATAGGCCTTCACATTTAACATATGAAACACTCACAAGGTAATTTCATAAAACAATAAGTAAGAGAATACTAAAACTTTTAATATTTTGGTGATTTTTTTGAAGAAATAAGCACTCTGTGTTACTCATCCTAATTGCAAACTGTGTTCAGTGGGTTATACACCAAAGTGTCAGATTTTATTGTTGTCTTGTAATTTTGTTTGCTCCAGTAAAAGCAGGATATTACAAAGAACATGGTCAATGTTTTGTTGTATAATATGTGTTGAATTTATTGATGTATTTTAAAATAGATTATGTATTTGATAACATAGTTTGGATTCAATGTCATTGATGAAGTTGGGAGCATTTCTTTTTAATCGGCATATACATTTTAATTCCAAGGTCATGTATTATGTTCATCTTCATCTTTAATGTCATGCATTCTGTCTCATCTTCATAATTCATCCTAATAGTATAAATCAAAATAACAACATAGTTTGTGAAGTGTGGTTGCAATAATAAAATGAGAATGCAGTATGTCGAAATACAAACAGTAAGTTTTGAAAGTTTGTGTTTCTACAAAATTGAACTGCTTGAAGAGAATTTATATTGATTTTATGAAAGAGCAAGTAGATGAGTCATCTAAATTTTGTAATTTTAGGAAATCAAGAAGTGTTAGTCACTGTAGAATTTGAAAATGCTGTATGCTTTATATATTAACTTTTAATCATAAATGTAAGTCAATGTTTCATTCCAACTTTAGCTTTTTCTTAGAACTTATTTTTACTAAAAATAGTTAAAGGAAAAAATTTCCTAAAAGATTGTATTTTTAACAATGTTTATATTTTTATTTGTTGTTAAATGATAAATATCTGTCAGAACATTTACAGTCTTAATTTCATTTGAATGGAAAACTCATATTTTAAGATAGAGATTTCTTTAATTTCCATGAGAGCTTTAAGAATTTAGGATTTGAGCATTTGCTGTGGCATATGGTGCATTTTCTGTCCTATTTTGTATACCAGCCCATTAAGGAGAGAAAGTGAAGTAAGTAATCTAAAAATAACTTGCTGTTGGCCTAATTTAACAACAACAAAAAAAGTCTTCTGTGCATAAGTAAAGTTCCACATTTTGTCTCCCCTAGTGGAAAATCTCTGAAGCATTTTGCCACCTATTCACAGAGCAACATCTTGTTTGGCATCATAATTACAGCCAGAAGGGCTGTTTTGACTTCTTTTTATCATTATGTGTGCTAGCCCTAGTCGTAGTTCTAACCTCCGTAGTCCAGAGGGACCCACCTTATCTGATGATTACCATTTGGCACTTATGCACACACCTTTTTCCAAAATGCATTCATTTTCACAGAGAAACTTAGGATCTTGAATTGAACTTGAATTGGTATTTACAAAAAACAATAGAATTAAAAGTATATGTCAAAATTAACCACAAGATGTATAGCCATGTTTCAAAAAGTTTATTTTTCCCTATTCAACTCATCTTTAAATTATCATAGGCCATTTAAAAATACCAACAACTTGTAACATGAAAAAAGGTTAATGGATTGTTTTTCATTTTTACCTTTTCTATGTTTTTTTGCCATTTTATTTATACTCTTTACTATTTTTCAGATTGTTAATGTTTTCATACTTTTTGGCATCTTGTTGTCATGCTCATTGGGGTACTTGTGGTGTGGAAACCAGAAGATAATGGTTCTTTTTCTAACTTTAAGATTTTGGACACTTTTGGACATTTCTTATGATTATACATTCAGTATTGATTAGAGGTGCAAAGTACTTCAAGAGGTTGAGTATGGGATATCAATGGCAGAATGATGGCTTTCTTCCTGGTAGGGGGAACTACTTGGCCCTGATGTATTTAAAAGCTTTTGCATTTAACATTCAAAGGAATTTTTATTTCTTCCATAAGAGCTTTAAGAATTTAGTAGTGAGCATTTGCTGTGGCATATGGTGCATTTTAAATTTTAAAATACTTTTGAATCCTCCATAAGCATTCATTCACTGATATGTTGGACTAGTATGATCTTAGAACACCCATAAAGAATACTTTAGCTCTTAAAAAAATAAGGTGTGGAACAGATAGGAAAGAAACTTTGTTAAATAATAACATGATTTAAGTATCAGAGGATTAGAAGAAGAAGTAACAGCCCTGTTAAGGATCTGCTGTATTAGAGTGCTGCATTAATGCCTGCAATCAATCACACCTCCCAGTATCCAGGTTCTCATGAAGTCCCCTCCCATAGTTATTCTGGCTTGGTTATGTGACTTGCTTTGGCCGGTGCGACATCAGTGAATGTGGTGCAAGTGGAGACTTTATAAGTGCTTGTACATTGGAGCTTATATTTTTGAAATGCTGCTGTCACCATTTCAGGAAGCCTTGTATAGCCTCCTTCCTTAAAGATTAAAGATCACGTGGAGAGACTTACCACAAGGGCCCAGGTGAGCTCTACCCCTACCTGCCCCACCAGCTGAATTCAGCTGCATGAGTAAGCCCATGCCAGATCAGCAGAAGAACCATGCAGCTAACACAGAATTGTGAGGAATAGTAAATTGTTACCTTTAGCACTAAATTTTGAGGTGGTTTGTTATATAGCAATAGATAAAACATAAGGGAACTTATCCAGCTACAGGAACTTTTAAGTTTATTTTTTCTGTGTCCCTTTTATAGCAGTTGCTTTGGTCACATTTTTGCTATACCTACTATCTATGAAACACTGTTTCTGGTTACAGATAATTTAATAGTAATTTTTCACAATTGTCATTGTGTAAAACAGGATTTAAAAAAATATATCCTGGTTGGAGGAAGAGATCTGTAAATGAGGGGAGTATTAATAATACTTCAAGTTCATACCTATTTGACATGTTCTGGTGAGCTGCTTCGAAAAACTTCACTTATCCATGTGGATGAGAAATTGGATCTCATGGGAGCAACTCACCTTAAGAGAGGAGAGATTTGGGGTTTGAAGACTGTTCCCAGGGCCAAAGATTGTCATGAGAAAAATGGGTGTTTATTCAAGCAGAAGAAGTTGTGAACTGCTCTGATGGACTACTATTAACTATTCCACTGCAGAATTTGTGGCAGAGTCCTAGGAAGAACAGGGACCAAATATAGCAGCAGTACTAAAACCACTGCCTGTAAGACTTTATGGGCGTAATGCAATTATACTTTGTCACTAGTGTACAAGAGTGTGCCACAAATGCTAGTAGAGGGGATTTTTGCCCACTCCAATAAGGTGCCTTTTAAATCACCTTGAAACACAAACCTGAGGAGTGCTCACATACTGGAAATATCAGGCACTGAAACAGAGAATCAGTGATGTAGGAAGTTACAATACCAGTACCAAAAAGGGGAATGTGGTTTCTGCACTTTTTTTTTCTTTTTTTTGAGAAAGGGTCAAACTCTGTGGCCCAGGCTAGAGTGCAGTGATGTGATCTCAGCTCACTGCAACCTTCTGCCTCCTAGGTTCAAGCAATTCTCCAGCCTCAGCCTCCTGAGTAGCTGGGACTACAGACATGTGCCACCAATGCCTGGCTAATTTTTGTGTTTTTTGTAGAGATGGGGTTTCACCATGTTGCCCAGGCTGGTCTCAAGCCCCTGAGCTCAAAGCTATCCACCCACCTCGGCCTCCCAAAGTGCTGGGATTACAGGCGTGAGTCACTGTTCCTGGCCTGGTTTCTGCACTTCTAATGCTTGTACTGGTTGTTGCTAGAATGTTTTCTACATGGCTTGAGGATACAAATGCTCATTGTCAGGAGCAGGAGAATAGGGAGGCTCCAGTGGAACTTGGAAATATACCTAAAGGAACACCGGTGGGAAACCTCTGGAACTTCCTCACTTAGCTGGGAGGCATTTGAAAGGAGTTAAGAGAACTTGTGGGTATGCAGATTTAGCCATTTTCATTGTTACTAATTTGGCTCTTTCTTCCTCACCCTTAAGTGGCCTGGGAGAACATGAGTTACTCATGTCTATATTGAGTTCATTTCATCCGGTTGTCTTCATAAAGAGTGACAAAAACAGAAGGAAACAGTACAAAAAATTCAGATTAATTTCAGAGTCTTGAGTGTATTGCGCAATTTTAGGATGTTGACTGATCCTTCATCAGAGATTGAACCATGATGGTGGAAGAATTACAAAGCTGTGAAAGAGATTGCTGTAAGAACAAGAATTAACACTTTAGAAGACAAAATGATTTGTAGTCTCTTTAGTTATCTAAAGTAGTATGTATGTAGGTAGGTAATTGGTGTTCACGAACATGATCAAATTGGTACTGTGGAGAAAAAGAAGAAATAAAAAAAGACCAAATGTGAAATAGAGTATAAAGACCTCTAGGAGAACTATGAGAAAAGCACAATTAAATAAACTCATGAAGAAAAGAAGCAAAGACTTTCTCAAATCCTAAACAAAAATCACTACATTTTATTAGAAATGAATTATACTTGGAATTTTTTAATTCATTATTTCTATTTTTAGAGATGAGTTCTCACTCTGTCACTCAGGCTGGAGGGCAGTTGTGCCATTATAGCTCACTGCAGCCTTGAACTCCTGTGCTCAGGCAGTCCTCCATTCTCAGCCTCCTGAGTAGATGGGACTACAGGTGTGTGCTACCATTTTTTAAATTTTTTGTAGGGACGGCCTCACTTTGTTGCCCAGGATGGTCTCAAACTCCTGGCACAAGTGATCCTCCTGCCTCAGCCTCCTGAGTACCCAGGACAACAGGTGTGTACTACCATATCTGGATATTTATTATTATTTTTTTATAGATGGGGTCTTGCTATGTTGTCTAGGCTGGTCTCACACTCCTGGACCCAAGTGATCCTCCTGCCTTGACCTCCCAAAGTGCTGGGTTAAGGTGTGGGCCACCACTCCTGGCCTTGGCAAAGATTTTTATATATTTAAAGCAGTGACAGTTAAAAGCCCAACATGATTATTTTTGGGGTAAATAATTTTACCAATTTTAAAATAACTTGAGAAAGGGTTGAAAAATTGTATTTAAGAGAAAGCAACAGGAGAGGAGAATGAAGCTATGCTACTACATCAATGTGAATTTTATGTATGCCTTGTTTCATTCCACAAAGAATTTAAGAGAATTATAATAGGAAAACTCTCCAGTGAAATATGAAGTAGAAAATAAAATAAAACAAAAATGAAGGAAAACATGATTCAGTATAGAAAGTCAAAATGAGGAAAGATGTCTACCAGAATGAAAGAGAGAGAGTGCTCCTAATTTGCCTTTGTGATTACTGGCATTTAAAACAAAATGTAATTAGTTATAGAATGTCCATTTTGAAAAAGAAGAATATATATATATATACGCATATATACATATATGTGTATATACACACACACACATATATATAAATATATATATAATATTCTTTAGGAAAGGAAATATTCTTTGGACTAAATTCTACAAAAGATTTCTTGTGTTGGATCTTACTTGGGAATAATGAGTGATACAGGGGCTAGATCCTTGACCACGTTCCAGCAACAGATTTTCTGAAGCATCACTTATGTCTCTTCCTGTGAAATTAAAAGATATACCATCAAAGCACAACTCCGTGAGTTTGATTATGAGACGGACTAAGATATATGAGTCTCAGTTAAATCTTTTGAAACAACAAGTGCAGATTTCTGTTTGTTTTTTTTCTCCATTGTGCCATAGATGAATGTTTTGAACAGTGTACTGAGCAACTCTTCCTGGATACTCTTTCTTATTTTTCTTGGTTGGAATGTAAAATATTGCTTTCTTTCAAGAAGGTTGAATTGTATTTCTCTATGATAGCTCCACCTTGCCTTATAGTTATTGATATTCACCTCTCAGAATGAACCTCATAGTGATAGTTGTTGGACTTCAGAGCCTGGCTTTCTGAAAATATTGAAGTTATATCATCCTAAAATTTTGACTTGTATTAAATAATCCAAGACTGAAAACAGCAACTACATAGAGAGACTGAAATCATGGAAGAAGAACTGAAACAAGGAAAGTTAACAGTGTTCTCTAAGCAATTGAAAATTTGAAAACGTTTGTGTAAAATAGAACATTACTTAAACAGTTGTTTTATTTTGTGTGTTGCATTTTTTTTTTGTTTTGAATCATTGGCTACTAAGTGTCAATTTAACTTACTAATTATAACTTCAGTCCGTCTACTTTTTTCCATTTCCAACTTTGCCATCACAGATTAAGGCCCTCTCAGCTCTGGTTTTGCCTGCTGATGTAGTCTTCTAAACTGTGTCTTAGTGCATGTTTCTGGTATGTGGCTTTTGCTATTTCATCTCTTTTTTTCTTCTGTATCTGTGCCTACCAGAATGCAGGCACATTTTAGGTGCTTAATGCATATTTGTTGAATGAATTAATGGCTTTTTCATGGAACCTGCCTCTCCAGAAGGTTCTCTAACACAGCAGGCAGAATGATGTTTATAAAGCAGTTCTTTTTATGTTATCCCTGTGGTTATAATGACTCTTCATTTCTTTTAGAGAAATGACCAGAATCCTTAACATAGTGATCAGAGTTGTACAGTACATGGCTTCTCCCCTGTCTCCTTTCCCCTGGCTCTCTGCTCTTCAACACACTGGCATCTGTTCATTTCCTTCAACTGTGCCATCCTCTTTCTTGTCTCAGAGCCCTTATTGGAGCTTTTTCTTTGCCAGGAATATTGGCTGTTGATCTTCCCACTTTTCTTCTCTACTCAACCCTCTCATCTCAATTCAGATGCAGCTTCCTCGTGGAACTCTTTTTTAACCTAACTAGATCTATGCTATGGGTTCTCATAACACCCTGTTCTTTCAGTAAAGTTCATAATGACACATTCATCATGGCAGGAGCTGATTAACGTTTACCTGTCTCTGTGCCTCCACTCAACCATAAGCTCCTCAAAGGCAGGGACTTTTGTTTTGCCTCAGTTTGAACCCAGCACTTGCATGGCACCTGGTGTATGGTAGGAATTAAGCATTTATTGAATAAATGAGTGAATAAATGAATGAATTTATTTATTCACTTATCTCTGCTTTTTTCCTGAATGAATTTAAAGTGCCTTCCATGATTGTAACCCCTCTAGTAGCATGTTTCCCTAATTGTGGCATAAATAGAATTTTTTTTGCTTTTTGTTTGGTTTTACCCAAAGACTACTGGTTATATATTTTGAAGTTACAAATTTTAAAATAGACAGAGTAGCTCATGTAAAACCTGGATAGTGTGAGCAGTTAACAAGTGACACCGTTGGAACAACTCCAGATGCCAACTGCAGGATAAACCTCATGGTCCTACAGGAGGGAATTAACCTATGGGTCAGCTCTATCCCCTAGTAAGGTTCTTTGGAGAGCCTTCCAGGATTGGGCTAGGGAATCTGGGAACCAGAGTGGCAGAAGAAGGGGCAGTTGCAAGTAAGAAAACTGCCATAATTTCTGGTTCATAAGGACTTACTTTACTTTTAACCCATTTCTAGACTTGTTTTTTGCTAGGTATTAAAAAGACAAGCACAAAATAATAATAAATGGAATCAATAAGTGAAAAGGGAAAGAAGTTCAAGAAGATTAGAATTGTATTACATTTAGAAATTGAATTTAAATTTTGATAACATTTAAGATATTTGAAGTGATAGGTATAAAGACATTTAAAATGACAGCTGTAAATGAGAATAGGAAAATAAAGATTGACTCCAATTCAAGAAAATAGGGATAAGAGTCAAAAATTAAAAGAATAACAATATGACATTTAAAGATAAAAGCTGGAGGTTAGATAAGGAAATAGAGTATTGAAATAAGTTAATAGTAAACTATATGGGATTAAAAACGTAAAATGGGTTGGTAATTATGATTAAACATTAATGTGGAAGAAAAGTGAATAGAGGAGATGTGAGGAAGGGTCTCTTCATAAGAGAACCATCCCCTCCTGAAGCCCTGGGCCTTCAGTCTCCCGCTCTTCAAAGGGTACTTATGCCTTTCCACACTACCTGCTCTGAATCTCAAGTCCCACCCAGTCCAAGGTAATCCTTTGGGGGAATATCTGCATACTCTGGGAAAGGCTCTTTTTTAAAAAGAAAATTTAAAGTTAATACATATATCCAGAGTAGATGTTAGCAGCTTATAGCAAAAGATTCTGCATCCAAGTAACTCTTTCCTTAAGCTTGGCAGGTGAAAATAATTTTTTAGCCTCAGGGGAAAAAATTTTACTTTGATTTAGTAAATGTAGACTCTACCTGGAGGCAGATTATGCCACATTCTTTTATTTATTATAGAATTGTAATGATGAATGCTTTAGGAATATTTAGAATATATATTATATACATTACATTACTTTTTTTTTTTTTTTGAAACAGAGTCTCACTCTGTTGTCCAGGGTGGAGTGCAGTGGTGTGATCTCAGCTCACTGCAATCTCTGCTTCCTGGGTTCAAGTGATTCTCATGCCCTAGCCTCCCGAGTAGCTGGGATTACAGATGTGCACCACCACGCCCAGCTAGTTTTTGTATTTTCAGTAGAGACAGGGTTTCGCCACGTTGGCCAGGCTGGTTTTGAACTCCTGACCTCAAGTGATTCACTTGCCTTTGCCTCTCAAAGTGCTGGGATTACAGGCATGAGCCACCATGCCATCAAACTTTGTTTGATCTTTATAGCCACCTTGTGGGACAGGTACTTTATTTATTACCATTGAGAGGGATCTTAAACATTAAATTACTTTAAACTTCTGTTTTAGAGTTGGGAAATTAAAGCCTTGATAAATTAAGGTATTTTAAGCAATGTTTATTAGTCCAGATGAGATTAAAACCTGGATCTCTTATTCCCCAGTGTCTTAGCTTGGGCTGGCATAACCAATTACCATCAACTAGATAGCTTATAAACAACAAAAATGTATTTCTCTTAGTTCTGCTGGAAGTCAGAGATCAGAGTGCCAGCATGATTGAGTTCAGGTGAGGCCCCTCTTCTGGTTTGCAGACTGAAGGCTTCTCATTGTATCCTCACATGGCGAAGAGTAGAGCACAGAAAGCAAGCTCTCTTGTGACTCTTATAAGGGTCACTATTCCCATTCATGAGTGCTTCACTCTTATGATCGTATCTTATTCTAATTACCACTCAAAGGCCTTACCATCTAATACCTTCTCATTGGAGGTTAGACTTCTAACATATGAATGTTGAGGGGTCACATTAAGTCTGTTACACCCAGTAGAGTCTTCTTTCCACCATAGCTGTACATATTTCCAGTTACTATTTATTGGGTTCACAGTGGTTGAATATTTTGTAACATTTATGAACAATAATGGCAAAAAAAGAATGGGAAGTTCTAATAGAAGCTGCTCTCATTCCAGATTAGGAATGAATTAATAGAGAATTTATGCCACTCATACTGTCCTTATGCATAATTTCTTATTCTGTGTGAAATTTGTCTTCATTAGAGCATGATTTTCAAAATGGGAAATATTAATCGTTTTCAAAATTACTGAAGATAGAAAAAGTATGTGATAAAGCTAAGAATAGACAGGTATAGTAAATGACGGGTTATATATCAACCTAGAGGTTTTTTTTGGATACCCCCCTTTTTTTTTTTTTACCTAATCAGAGTCAAGCTTTGAAAAGATCTTGACAGGCTAGAATAGATAAAAACTCATAGGAATAAATTTAATAGAGATGAATGTAAAATTCTTATACATGTATAAGTTTAGTAGAAGTTCATGTAGCCTATAGTTTTTAATTGGCTACAGGCTTCATTTAAACTAACAGAATGACACTCATTGATTCAAATTTTAATACTTCTGATTATGTGCCACGTAATTTTGCTGGATGCCAGCGACCCCAAGATCCATGTGTCACCTGATCCTTAGAGTGTGGAAGACACATCTATGAACAGATTATTTCACTCTCTCATAAGTACAGTTACAGAGGTTTGCACACAATGCTAGGGGAAGGCAGAGAAAGAAATAGTACTTAAGAGTGGATGATGGAGAGAGGAGAGGCTTTCCAGAGGAGAACCCTGAATTGTTCAACAGGCAGTTTGACTCATATACAAAGGTTGGAAATGAAGGTTGTTCTGGCTCTTTAGAGCCACAATTCTCAAAGTGGTTGGCCACCTTATGATGGACAAAGAAAGTCCATTTTGGAATTAAATTAATTCCCAAATACAAGTTCATTCTTTCATTCCCATGAGTGAAAAAATATGCATAGGTTTTAACCTTCATGAACAATTAATGACTACTTACTAATAGCCTAAGTTAGTTATTAAGGATTATTAAAATACAGCATCCATTAACAAAATTCAGCTCATTACCAGAGTCTGCTGAGTATTCTAATATTCTATCAGAAGCCGGAGAGTGACAAAATACTTGCTGTATTGAAGAGCTTCTACTGCTCATGCTCACAAAACGGGCAGCTGGAATTACCAATATTTTCTGGCAGAATGTTTTGTTATTGTATCAGCTAGGTTGTCTGATCATGGTGTATAAATGCAATTATTTTGATTATTAATTATAAATGATTTAGATTTATCTATCAGTTATTTCCAGGATTGTAGTCTTATTGTAGTTACAATTCATATTTGTGGCCAGGTGTGGTGGCTCAAGGCTGTAATCCTAGCACTTTGGGAGGCCGAAGTGGGAGGATTGCTTGAGCCCAGGAGTTTGAGACCAGCCTAAAAAAAATTAAAAATTTGGGCAAGGTAGTATGTACCTGTGGTTCCAACTACTCGGGAGGCTGAGGCAGGATGATTGCTTGAGCCCAAGAGGTTGAAGCTGTAATGAGCCATGATTGCACCACTGCACTTTGGCCTGGACCACACAGCAAGACCTTGTCTCAAAACAAAAGTAATTCATATTTTCATCAATAGTATTTTTGATTCTTAAATATCTTAAAATACAGTTGGTAAATTATAGACCCAATCATCTTTATCGGAGCTTTTAAAACATTGATATGCTTAAAAATCACCTGCAGAACTTGTTACAAACAGATTCCTGTGTATTGCCCCCAGAAATTCTCATTCAGTAGGTCTGTGTGCAGCCTGATAAGACTTCTTACAAGCTCTTGGGTAATACTAATGCTGCTGATCTTCCAATCCTACTTTGAATAGTACATACCTATATTCTTATTGCTAAAGCAGAGGTATAGAAAATCCCATGAAAACATTTATATATTCTGACATCTCATCATTTAGCTCTTTTCTACTTGAGGATAGTAATAGATAGGATGAGATAAGTAGGTGGATGAGCAGCAGAGTCTCAGAGTGGCTAATTACAGTAATTCACTTAAAAAAAGATTCACAGAGTCTGGTTTTGAGCAAACTCAAGTTGATCAATGTGGCTAGATCAGTCACATGCTAGGAGAACAGACAGGATAAATCAGTGTGGCTCACATACCACATGCTAGGAGAAGAGAGATAAGTGTGGCTAAAGAAATTTACTGGATTACTTAAGAGTTTTGTATGGCGTTATGGCAAATCCAGTAAATTTCTGGATTATTTAGAGCACTGGCATTTATCTTAAGGATAGTAGTAAACTTTGAAAGCATTTGAAACTGGTGGCTAGCATAATCAAATCAAAGTTTTGAAAACGAGAGTATGGTAAGAAAGGGGGCAGGGAGATCAGTTTTGAAGCTGCCACAGTAATCCATGTGAGCAAAATGAAGGACTTGAACTAGAAAGCGGTGGTGAGAGTGATAAAAATGCAGTTCTGAGAGATATAAAAGAGGTGACAATGATAATAGTTAACATTCTGTACTCACTATGGGCTGATCACTCTTCTAAGCACTTCATATATGTATGTGTGTGTGTGTGTGTGTGTATATGTATGTGTGTGTGTGTGTGTGTATATATATGTACACATGAACCAATTTAGTCCTGACCGCAGTTATATGAGAAAAGTGTTATTTTAATTTACATTTTACAAAGGAAACTGAGTCACAGACGTTCAGCTACTTGTTTAAGGCCACACAGCTGGTAAGGGCATAGCAAGAATTTAAAGTCCAGTGGTTTGTCTTAGAGCCTGGACTCACACTGTGCAGTAAATTTGATGCAATTTGATGGTCGGATGACAGGGAGGGGGAAGAATACAGGACACCAGCAGATTTCTCAACATTGCTAGCTTGTGTACAATATAGGAAAAGTAGGAGGTGAAGCATATTTGGGGTATGATGAAGTGGAAAAATAAGAATATTATGGACTGAATGTTTACGTTCCTCCAAAAATTATATGTTGAAATATTAACCCCCAGTGTGACAGAATGAGGAGATAGGGTCTTTGGGAGGCAATTAAGTCATGAGGATGGAGCCCTCGTGAATGAGATGAGTGCCCTTAGAAAAAGTACCACAGAGAGCCGTCTTACTCTCTTTCCACCATGTGAGGATACAAAGAGAAGATGGCCGTCTGTAGCACTGAAGAAGGCCCTCATCAGAACTGGGCCAGGCTGTTCCCCTGATCTCAGACTTCCAGCCCCAGAACAGGGTAAATGTATGTTGTTTTTCAGCCACCAGTCTATGGTACTTTGTTATCGCAGCCCAAACTGACAAAGACAGAAAGAAAGGGAAAAGATAAATTCAGTTTTTTACATTTTAAGCCTGAGAAGTCTATAGGAAATCTAATTGAAGATACCTAGTTGGCAGTGGATATATGGATCTTGAACTGTAAAATTCTAATGTAAACTCACAAAAACATGGTGATTAGATTAGCATGGGGAGGGTGTTATCAAGTGAATAAACCATGTCTGTACGACTGCATTCAGATCTGAATGTCACATAACTGAAACTAGAATTTATCTGGAGGTGACCATAGTGTTGAAAGATTGAGAAACAATGTCATAAGAAAAATGGGATTAAGGACCTGAGTTGTTTAGTTAAGGAGATATGGGGAGGTTAAATTGTGCTTAGTGTTTTAAAGAGTAGTTAAATAGAGCAGGGAATTTATTTTACACTGCCTCAGTAGTCAGAATAGGACCAAATAGGTACATGTTATTCAGACATGGATGCTGATAATCAAAAATATTCCTTGTGGGAAAAGATTGTCCCATCAGGTAGTAAGTACCTATTTGAAGAAACATTGAAATATTGATAACTGCCCCTCGGTAGGGGTACTGTAGAGGTAATTCCTGTTCTGCATGGATTAAATGAGTCCATCAGAACTTGATAGCATTATAATTACACACATTACATTGTTTTATAATTTTTTATAAGGGTTTTTGTTACTAGTAGGTGTATTTTGAGATTTTCTTCATAAACTTGAAGTAAATAACTATTTTTCTTGGCATAAAACACTTAAGCCATTGCTAAGATGACAATTGCTGGAAATATGTAAGGAGTTTCTTTAAATATGAAACTACCTCCCATGAATGCTTCAGTTGTTTGAACAGAATGCAGTTGTTTACTTGCAGAAATTATTTACTATATTATTGATTCCAAATATAGTAGAGTTTTTAAGTCCCCTTAAAAGAAAAATTTGAATATAAAATGTAGTTTCTCATTACTGGATTTACAATCTTTGTATCGCTCCCTGTTTTCTTTTTTTTTTTTTCCTTTTTTTTTTGGCCACTGGGAGTTTTGTTGCCAGCAATGAAATACAACCTTCATGTTGTACTGCGTAGGATAGATACTGTAAATTTCTGGTCTTGCTTTTCCATTGATCTGGATTGCCATTTGGGAATCCTGTTCAGCTGATCTTTATTTCCTGAGTCAGAAATTCTGTTTTACCCATCTTTGGGGTTTTCAGCAGCTATTCTCTGTGGGCTGTCAGGTATTGCACATGAAAGAGAAGGTTCAAAGGCATAGAAATAAGGTTCAGGGCTGAAATGTTTACACTGCATTTTAAAAAATTTTATAAACATTTCCTAAGCTGATGGATCAACATGAAAACTTAGTAGATCTAAGACCTTTTGTATGCTATAGTATACATAACATTTGAATACACATAATTTTTAAGGAGTGGTAGGGGATTTATTACTTATGAATTTGATACAGAAATTACTTTTCTTGTATATGATTTTTCCGGTAAGCATAATTAACAACATTGTGTTTAACTTTATACATTTTTTTCACAGATTTATTTACCTGTTCTTATTCTGCCTTGTTTTGCAGCTGACGATTGGTATTGAATCATGGTGAAGTATAGCTTGCAATCAAATTAAGAAATTAACAGATCACTGGAAATTTTATAATAAAAATATATTTTTGGACTGTTCATAGTGGCTAATGCCTATATTCCCAGCACTTGGGGAGGCTGAGAAAGGGGGATAGCTTGAGACCAAGAGTTTGAGACCAGCCTGGGCAACATAGTGAGACCCTGTCTCTACAAAATTAATTTAAAATCATTAGTCAGGCATGGTGTTGCCTACCTAGTCCTAGCTTCTTGGGAGCCTGAGGCAGAAGGATCACCTAGAACCCAGGAGTTCCAGGCTACAGTGAGCTATAATCTTGTCAACACACTCCAGTCTGGGTGACAGAGCAAAGCCCTGTCAAAAAAAAAAAAAAAAGAAAGAAAGAAAGAAAAGCAACAAGAACCACCATATTTCTGAGGTTTTGCCACTTTTTGTGTGGTCAACTATATATATTACATTGTAATGAAAATATTGATTTTTAAAGCAAAATTGTAATGAAAGTACCAATATGGAAAAGGCAACTATAATAAATTTAGCACTTATTTAACATAGCATATTTTAATTAGAAATCTTTTATCATCCTGGGATGATTAACAGTGTAGTTTACTAATGTGTCAGTAACTTGTTTGAACATAATCTGGTTCTCTCTGACTAGTTATGTATTACATATTTATGCATTATAAATGGTAGTTGGACAACTTTGTCACTTCTTTCAGATTTGTGTACAAACAAAATATTCAGTATGTAATATAAAAATTTGGTGAAGGTCTTATGTTTATTCTTACGTACAAAATATTTGTAAAACATTTTTAAAAGCATTATAAAGTAAGCATTTGGGTTTTCTACCATACACAGCATTTTCTTATTAAGTAGAATTTTGACATTTTGTTAAGCTATGACAGAATCCATGCTTCTCGGAAGTTTACATATATTAAAAAACTTTTGACAACTTGATGCTCGTCTTCTCTATGGAATTATGGAAGAATTTACAAAAGAGCCTGCAGGCTTAGCATCTGATATATCAAAATATTTTTGACTTGATTTTCCTTTTATGGGTTTCTTTCTTCCATTTTTATCCTCTCTCTCTCTCTGTTGCCTGTAAAATTTGCATAATGTAAATATATCCTCTAACTACAGTCAAAATGGTTATTTGGAGATATATTGTTTGGCCCTAGGAAGTAGGTAGTTTTATGAGGCAAAGAATACTGGAAACCACATAACACAGTTTGTCTTCTTTCACTCCTACTTACAAGCATAACTAGGATGTTCAATAAATTTAGGGGCATTTTCATATTAAATGCTATTCATACCAATCTCCAGATTTGAAAAGTTATAATAACCAGCATGTAAAAAACAATGGATGTTTATTTTAATTATGAGGTTCAAATATTGGTTACAATCATTCTATAATTTAGTTTTAAAATTCAAATTCTTTTTTGGGAGGTTGATGCCCACAGTTCCTGGTATTTCTTGTACTATCTGGAAATGTATTGGCTCTTTGGATCCAATGGTGCTCACAAAAGACTGATTAACACATGACATAATCTGTTGTTATAGATCTGCTTTCCAATAAACTTTTACGTATTTGTGCTCAGGCATTATGTTTTATCTATTTTTGTCCAAGATCAAGTGTGGTACATTTAAGAGGCAGTGAGCTAAGAATATGGTTGGCTTATTAAATGCAACATCTAAATAGTATACATTTTCTTCTCATCCTCATCCTCTTTCCTCTTCCCAACCCCCTCTCACCTCTGCCACCACCTCTGTTTTCTCCACCTTACCCCTTTCTCCATTCCCTCCATTCCTTATCCCTCCTCCTTTATCTACATCATTATGTCATCTAAATGTTGTGTGCTGAATGTGTGTAAGACACCTGTGATAATTGCTACAATTCATGATTACTCTAATCCTCACTGCAACTCTGTGAGGCATACGTTTTACTGATTTTTAAGGACAAGGAAACAAGAATATAAGCATTAAATTAACTCTTCCAGCAATGCACAGCTAGAAAGCAGCAAAAGCAGAACTCAAACCCAGGTCTAATCCCTAATTCTGTGCAAATAACCACTACCGACTTCCATCATGGAATTACAGACTCAGCCTTTGGCTAGTTTGTGAATTTGTGTCACTAAACTTGTATGCCCCAGGATTTTATTTTATTTTTTAACCACCTGTCACATCATCTTATGATCATCTTATGTCTAGCACTAGATGAAAGTTTGACTAAAAGTTTAAAATGAGTGGATGAATGAATGAATGACTGTCCTATCAGCATCCTATTATATAGTCAATAGTTAAAGATTGTTTAATCCATTCAGTATTTTAAAGAGAAAAAGGACGTAGTTTTTCCTAGTTATTATTCAGAATGAATAGCAAGTTAATGACTAGACAAATATTATTCCATCCCTTTAAATAGCTATATACTTAAGTGGAGTGTGAATCTTCTCTTTTGGACTTGTATTAAGCCTCACGTTAATATGGTTCCTAAATGCTAATCTACAGTGGTAACAACTGAATCTGTGTTTCCCAGCATAGAAGTTTTCAGGAGGGAATAAATAATGATTTTGGAAAGGGAACTCAGAGATCTTAAAAATCCCCTCAGAAGACTAATCTTTCAGAAGTTCTCTCTGTGATATCTGATGTTGCTGTAGAGTACAAAGCTTCACCATAGCTTGGATCCCTGATGTTCAGTGAATCATGACTTCTGCCCTTCCTTCCCGCTAGCCTGCTCTCCCACACCAAGTTGAACCACTTTTTAATTTTAGAGAAGGGCATCAGTAGAGGGATTCCCTCTCTCAGTTTCAGATTGATAATGTACCAATTTGTGCACATGCCTACAGTGATCACATTGTTGTTCTTACTGCATAGAGCACCCATTTAGATGTACTATGGATGTCATATCAAAAGACATTCAGTTCTAATAAGAATGTTACCTTAGTTTAGTGAAATTAATGTAAGATGAAATAACAGTTCAGTTGCATTTCATATGGATTCATTTAAGAACCTACTGCAAGTGAGGAAGGTAGTATGCTAGGTCTTAGGGTAACTTGAAGATGAGGACATAGTAATATTGTCAAGAAGCTTAAAATATAGTGGGATAAACAGATGTGTAAATAGATAATTAAAATGCAAGACCAAGTGAATTAAGTGCTAAATAGATAACCAGCAGCCTGTAGGGATATTCTATTCTAATTTGGGCTTCAGGAAAAAAATTATGGTGTAGATGGCACTTGACTTGAGCTTTGAATAATGTATAGATGCCTACTAGGTTTATTTATATAAACATTCAAAACTATAGTAGCATACATAATCTCAGTATGAACTTATGTATGCATATGTATGTGTCAGTATGTATGTGTGTGTATGTGTCAATGTATAGTTACAGTGGGATTAGCATGTACCCTTCTAAATACTTTCATTTTCATGAAATATGAAAAAATAGAAGGGCTTGCAAAATAGCTCCTCCTTTAATTTATGCTATTAGAATCTTATTTTGACTTAGATGTTGGGTTTATCAACTAAAGCTATTTGCAGTCATTATTAAATAGTATAGTAACCTGACAAGTTCTTATAGTGACATGTGGGTATATGCAAAGTGAAATAATCATAAATTTCAGCAGAACCTGGTCATAAAAGGACATACATAATCTTGCAGTGAAAACCCTTAAATTCAGGACTTTGCAAGCTGTATATTATTCAGTCAGTAACTGGCTTGGCTTAGATTTGTATGAATGAGTAGGAACCTATGTGAAGGAAGGCATAGATCATATATTCCTACCTGTGTCATCTTGAAATGATTAAACCAAAATAACCCTCGGGTTTAGACCTATGTCTTTTAGATTCTCCCAATTCTCTCTCTCTGATTCCCTTCACTTTTTCTTTTCTTTTGGCTGATGCACTTATTAGTTATCTATTGTGGCATAACAAACTACTGCAAACTTTATTATCTCATAGTTTTTGGGGTTCAGGAATCTGGATATGGCATGGCTAGGACCTCAGCCTCAGTGTCAGTTACAAGCTGCAATCAAGGTGTCAGTGAGTGCTGAAGTCTCATCTGAATGCTCAACTGGGAAAAGACCTGTTTCATTCCAATCTCACGTCGTTGTTGGCTGGATCCATTTCCTTGTGGGTTATTGGACTGAGGGCCTTTGTTCCTTGCTGGTTGTTGGATAAGTCCCCGTTTATTGCCACATGGGACTGAATATGAAAGCCTACTCTATCAAAGTCAACAAGAGAGTCAATAGAATCTGCTAGCAAGATGGGAGCTACACTCTTATGTAACAATCATGGTAGTAACATCTCATCACCCTCAATGGATCTTGTTTATTAGAAGCAAGTCACAGGTCCTTGCCATGGTCAAGGGGAAAAGATTATATAAGGGCACAGATACCCAGGAAGTGGAGATCACTGGAGGCTACCTTATGGTCTGTCTACCACAATGCCTAAAATTTCTTTTGGGTGCATAGGCCTATTCTATTACGATAGATAAAAGACTTAGAATTCAGAAAGGTGTAACTCATCAATGTTAATTTTACTTGTCAGTGAACAAGTAAAATGATATCACATCTTTTTCTTTTATAATCTATACAGAATGTAAAGAGACGAAGAAGGTATTAGATTGATGAAGTAGAAGAGTTTGCCAACAAGGTAGAAACATGAAAAGAAGAACAGACTTTTTGAATTCATGAATTTTATCTAAAATGTTCTTTGCTTTCATAAACTGCATAGAGATCAGTAGATGTTGTGCTTGATGTGTTCTGTGACTGTGTAATTATTGTAACTTTACTATGATTTAAAAAGAATGTAAAGTCACAGCTTCTTCCACTTTTCCTTTCCTCTTTTCTTCTCCCAGAATATTCCTTATTTAATGTATTACACTAGCTATACGTTTGTAGACAGTACTAGGAGATTAAAAAGAATAGAAATAAAGAAATGTGTAAGTAAAATGAACATATGTCTTGTTAAATGTGATTTTCAAAATAGTAATGATATAAATTTTCTAGCTGGTTTCAGAAATGAAAACCAATAGTTCATGACATAGTTATCTGCATATATTGGAATGTTAGGGATAGGCCACAGGCTAATGATTGAACTGGTTTGAATAATGATCAGAGATCTGCATGTGGTAAACTCTTTTACTTTATTTTACTCCTTAATACCTGTTAAAATTTAAGGATATTTCTACAGTTGTTTCTGTTTCACAATCATAAGCTGTAAAAGACCTTGGTTTTAATGTGCAAACAAACCGAAGGAATTTTCTGCAACTCTTAATGGATACATTTCTCTCACTTAGTTACCATAATCATCTGTGCTTGATCATGGCCCGTTGTTACCCTGAAGAATGAATGAAATACAGCAGTGAAATTGACTTCAGGTCACCAACTCTTACCCTAATATACAGAGCTACTGAATAGTCCCTTTTTAAATTTCTTTTTTTTTTTTTTGCCAAAAATGACCCATCTATTGTTTATGAAACAGATTCTTGGAGTTGGCCTTTCTTACATTTTTCAGTGTAAGTATTGTATTACTAAATTTATTTAAAAACTTTATTCTTCTATTTAGTTCTGAAAGTTTATTTTTTCCCTCAAATAACTCACTAGTCTGGGATCAAAACGCTCCAAAAATTGCATTTTAAAGTAATTTTATGATTAAATATATTTAGTCTCTTATCTTTATGGTCCTGAACATGTCCATTTTAGTGTTTGGCCTAGATTAAAAATGCCCCAGGGACTCAAGGACAACGACTATGTAAATCTTTTTGTATAGCACTTCATAAAATTAAGCATTTAATAAATGCTAATTGATTATGAAAACCCAGTTAAAAGTCTTCTGGGGAAACCAGAATTTTTAAACAACCAAATACAGCATCATAATATTTTAAAGACTCTCTAGTATTCTGAAATGACTTTCTTCTTCATAGCAACTTTAGCCTTATTTCCCTTTTCATCCTCTCTATTTCTTATTAGGACATAAAAAACACTCTCTGTGCTTCCTTTGGCTGCAATACCTTGGATATCTGGCTGCCAGAACCTTTTCTTCTTGACTTGGTTATGTTGGTGATACTACATCCTCCTCTCTCATTTATTGCATTTGTCCTTTCCATTCAGGAAAGTGAAGAGAAAGTAGGACATACAGTATGTTAGATTATAGAGCAAGACGATACCTTAGGAATAACACATCCCAGCATTTTTAATTGAGCCTTACACAAATAAGTGACTTGCCAAAGTTCACATATATATTTGGCAGACCCCAGAATGAAATTCAAGGATTTTAACTGCAAGTTCTGTGTTTTAGTGAACTCAACCTTAATATTACTATCTTGCATGTTTGTCTTGCCATTTGTTGAGACCTGGAAACACAATTTGTATCAACTTGTTTGTGCATCCTTTCCATAATCACACACATTGGTTACTGGATATTACAGTGATAGTGCAAATAGTCTGTTAGCCACTGTGCAACCATGGGTCAATGCCATATAGCAGGTCTTATTTGGACTGCTTAGTAACTTGAGACTAAAAAAAAAATGTGTTTTTATAAAATAAAATAAAAATGCACTTTTACTACTTAAATGTGTGTTTTTGGAGTTCAAGTAACTATCCTTTAATTTGAAGATGTGTTGCTCCAAGGGATGTCATCTTACTTTTTCTGGAAAGCTTGGAAGCTTATATTCGTGTACTCCTTTTTACTATTGTTTAGCACTATGGTGTTGGCCGAACTTTATAAATTAACCCTGTTTTGCTTTTTGTTGTTGTGTGATTGCTTTATATACCTTCACTGTTCTGTCATTAAGTAAAATTTAAGCCTGCCAAGGCAGAAACTACCTGATTCACATACTGTAGAAATAAAAATATTAAAATATTTTCATAAATCAGGTACTACAGAAAAGATATGCAAAGGTAGAGATTTAATAAAAACTTTGAAAAATTATTTTTTAGTTTGAAGTATATTTTTTAGATGTCACTAAAACATCACAAAATAAAACCTGAAAACTTTTCTTGATGGGAAAAACAGGCACATTGTTTAAACTTTTAAAAAGTCTGCCTGGGTGTGGTGGCTCATGCCTGTAATCCCAGCACATTGGGAGACAAAGGTGGGAGGATTGCTTGAGCCCAGGAGTTCAAGACTAGCCTAGGTAATGTGGTGAAACCCCATCTCTACCAAAAAATAAAAATAAAATAAAATTAGCTAGGCGTGGTGGCATGTACCTGTAGCCCCAGCTACGCAGGAGACTAAGTTGGGAGGATGACTTGAGCCTGGGAGGCAGAGGTTGTAGCAAGCAGAGATCCCGCCACTGCACTGCAGCCTCAGCGACCAAAAAGGAAAATAAAAATCTCACTCTAGAACATACCAGAAAGATTTTCTATTAAAAAATTGACACAATTATGTAATTAGATTCCATGAGTGTGCTATTTTGTACATGTGCCTAAAGTGTTCATTTTCCTCATTATTTGTGTAGGTTTTCTTTTCGTTTATGATTGAGGAAACAGAATTAGGAAAAAGAAAGTTTCTAGGCAAACTATTGCTAGTATTTCTTCACTATAAAATGAAACAAAATTCCTAGTTAAGTGTTAATTATTGCATAATATTGATATGAAAATGTAACTTAGAACATTTAAATTCTAGTCATCTGGGACTTTTAATATATTTATGGGTTTAACTTTTAGTGTGTGAAGTAGGCATTTTTGTAAATCACATACTGTAGAAGTAAAAATATTAAAATATTTTCATAAATCAGGTACTACAGAAAATATATGCAAAGGCATCAGAATAGGTATTTGAGAAAATTGGGAATTTATTTTTCTGGGAAAAATCGTAAACTGCTATTGAATTTCATTTTCATTTAATTTTTGAAAAGGAAATGTTGGCATTGTTATGCCAGATCATTATAAGCTTTATTTCTACTACATTTTATCATAATGCTCACTGAGTATAAATAAACTCTGGTATGCTAAACCTAATAGCAATTAAACTGGAAGTGTTTGTGTTTCATCACTGTGAACTTCGCAGAAATGTTTCCATGACAACCTCCATGCTAGTTAAGACAACCAGAGGTGATCAACAGTTTACGTATTTTTTCTCTTGTAAGAATGGAATTTGTGTTGACAGTTTTGGCCTTTAATGGCACTTTTGTTCCGTGTGAAAGTATTTGTTTACCAGATCATATGCTGTTAACTGTCAGGCTGAGGTAGAGTGACTGCTTTTGATAAAAGGCTGTATTAGAATTTTTCATCTGTGAAGCTCTTATACTCTAATTATCTCCATCAGTATGGAAGAGTCCATTTGCTTCAGTACCCTACAAATTACACTTTGTTAAGACCAAGTATTATGCTGAGTAAAATTGGGGGGACCTTGATTTTTGTTGACCATCTAAAAATGGAAATTCTTTGTAACTTCCTCATGCCCCCTTATGCCCATGCACACATGCACATACATACTTCAAAAACAATATCTAAGTGACCTCTTTGTAAAAGGTTACCGGGACAATGTTAGTGATTTTTTTTACCTCATTCACTTCACTAGAATATTATAACTACATTAGTCGAGCCTGCTGCAAGGAATGTGCAAAAAAAAAAGAAAAACATATGAAAAGAGAAATGTGTAAAAAAAGGATAACTGTAGTTTCAAACAAGAATTGCCAAGATTCCATTGCTGATTATGGAAGTGAGGACTTTTCCCTGTTTACTTGTAAATAGTAGCACATAAAAAATTTGTCTGTTTTGAGATCCTCAAACTAAATATCCACATACACATTCTCATAAAAAGGACTGAAATTGTGAAAATTCTTTGTACAAAGCTGTATGAGTTGCACAGTGAAGAAATCATTCACATAGGGTAGTTATATTAGTCTTTTTTTGTAACTATCTCCATGGTCATATGTTAGCATTATCTAATACCTGAAGGATGAGGACTAGGTGAAAAGACATATTAAATATTTCACATTGTTTATGTATGGAAAGCAAGCTCATTACTTTCTAAAATAAAACTTGCCAGTTTTCTTGGTTAGTGTCACTATGTAGTTGTTAGTCTTTATTGTTATGTCTTCTTGGAAAAGCAAAAAAACGCTTTGTTAAACTAATATTAAATTATAATTTACCATGGGCAAAACTCATCCTTGCTTTCCTTAAAATTACCTACTAAAACATATTAAAATCAATAAAGTTTACATTTTAATAAACTAATATCGTATTAAACTGATACTTTATCTTATTTTAGTTTAAACAACATAATTCTGATTTTTAAACAACATAATTCTTTTTCTACTTTTTTCCCCTTCATTCTTTGTCTTCACATCATCATCCACTCAGTTGCCCAAGCCAGAAACTTGCAAATGTCCTTGAACCTTTCACCATTAACTTAGTCTTTCATTCATGTGTTTCTTCTCATGATTCTAGGCATTGAAGATACAGCAGAGAACAAAACATAAAAAAATCACTTATCTTCTGCAGTCTGTGTTCTCATGAGGGGAAACTGACAAATAAATCTGTTAAAGATAAAGAATATAAGATCATAGTAAGTACTATAGAGAAAAATAAAATAGAAAAGATAAATTGTGTGTGTGTGTGTGTGTGTGTGTGTGTGTGTGTGTGTGTGAGAGAGAGAGAGAGAGAGAGAGAGAGAGAGAGATGGGGTGGGGTTTGCAATTTTAGATGGAATGGCCAGGAAGCCCTCACTGAAAAGGTGATACTTGTGCAAAGATCTAAAATCAGTGAAGGAAAGGAAAGTAAGCTAAGGCAGAAGGAATGGCAAGTATTGAAGTAGAAGTGTCCTTAGCAAGTTTTGAGCAACTGCAAGCAGGCCAGTACAGCTGGTATAGAATAAGCAAGGGTAAAGAGTAGTAGGAGATAGAATTGAGGATTCAGGGATAGAGAGCATAGGGCCTTTTGGATTATTCTAGGCCACTGGAGGGTTTTGAGTAGATGAGTATCACATTATGATTTATCTTTTCATATAATCACTCTGGCTGTTGTATTGAAAATAGTCTGCACCAGAGGTAGGGATGAAGGCAGGGAAGGAAACAGGGACGAAACCGGTTAGGATTTATTGCAAGAATCCAAATAGCAGATGAAGATAACTTAAACAAGAGTAGTAATAGTAATGAAGGTTATGAGAGGTGATCAAATTGTGTGTACATTTTGAAGCTTCAGCCAATATGATTCCTTAACAGATTAAGTGTAGTATGTGAGACAAAACGAGGAGGTAAGGAGGACTTAGGGGTTTTGAACTGAAAACTGGCAGGATAATACTTCCTTTTTCTGAGATGGGTAAGACCATAGAGAGAACAGGTTTATTGTGAGAAACATTCAGAAATTCAATTTTGTACATGTTGGAGAGATCAGTTAGGGATCTAATTATAGATACTAAGTAGACAATTGGATATAAGAATCTAGAATTTTGAGCAGAGATGTGAGTTGAAGATAAAAATTTGTAAGTTAGCATATAGGCGTTACTAGAAATTACGAGGCTAGATGAGATCACCAAAGGTGGGTTCCTAGAAAGAAACAGTCCAAGGACTGAGCCCTGGGGCGTTCCACTGTTGATATTTTGAGTAAATAAGGAAGAACCAGTCCTATGGTTTGGATACTGTTTGTCCCCACGAA
This sequence comes from Homo sapiens, assembly GCF_000001405.40. Taxonomy (NCBI): domain Eukaryota; kingdom Metazoa; phylum Chordata; class Mammalia; order Primates; family Hominidae; genus Homo; species Homo sapiens. The sequence continues at coordinate 114,133,591 of NC_000007.14, forward strand.
AACTCATAATTGAAAGTTGATCCCCTATGTAGAGGTGTTGGGTGTTGGGAGGTGGGATCTAGTGGGAAGTGTTTGTGTTATTGGGTTGGACCATTCATAAATGGCTTGGTGCTGTGTTTTCTGGAGTGAGTTAGTTCTCTCTCTCATGATACTGTATTATTTCTTGAGGAAATGGATTATTTCTTTCAAGAGTTAGTTATAAAGCCAGGACATCCTTCAGGTCTTCCTCTCTTTGTAGATGGCTACATCTGCTTTGACTTCTCCAGTATGTTGTGACACAGCATGAAAGACCTTGCCAGGAGCTAGGGCCATGTCCTTGAACTTAGCCTGCAGAACCATGAGCTAAATAAATCTTTAAATGACCCAGTCCCAGGTATTCTTTAATAGCAACACAAAACAGACTAAGACAGCCAGTAGAGGAGATTGAGAAATATGGCAAGTGAGGTATGAGGAGAACTTGAGAAGTGTGGTATCCTGGAAGTCATATGAAGAAAGCAGTATAAGGAGGAAAACATGATCAGTTCCCACAAAATAATGCTAATAGGTAAAGTAAAATGGGGACCGAAATTTTACTTTTAAATTTAGTAACATTAAGATCATTAGTGATCTTCACCTTAGCTCTTTTGGTACAACTGTTGGTGAATTGGTGAATATCTCAGAGGGGGTTCAAGAGAGAAAGGAAGGAGGATATTTAGAGACAGAGCTGTGGGGCATGAGTGTAGTCCCTTGCTATAATGCCACAGTATCCCACTGTTCTTACTGAATTTTCATGGATTTTTTGAATAAAATTTTCTCTGTTGTATGGCTTTCAATGAATCTTCACAGATTTTTAATAACTATCTTAAGAAATGCTATTTGTACGCCTGTAATCCCAGCACTTTGGGAGGCCGAGGCGGGCGGATCACGAGGTCAGGAGATCAAGACCATCCCGGCTAAAACGGTGAAACCCCGTCTCTACTAAAAATACAAAAAATTAGCCGGGCGTAGTGGCGGGCGCCTGTAGTCCCAGCTACTTGGGAGGCTGAGGCAGGAGAATGGCGTGAACCCGGGAGGCGGAGCTTGCAGTGAGCCGAGATCCCGCCACTGCACTCCAGCCTGGGCGACAGAGCGAGACTCCGTCTCAAAAAAAAAAAAAAAAAGAAATGCTATTTGTGACCAGCATAATAGACATCTCCTCGGGTGAGAGGTGCCACCTAGCTTCCTACACTACTCTTCTGAAAGTCTTATATCCAATACCATACCTTTTAATGTTGCTTTAGCTTAACTTACCGTAAACATTTTCTGATCACAAATAAAATGGTGTCATTTAATGGCCATCAAATGAACACATACCATGTATAAATATGTATCACAGTTAATTATTTCTCTCCATAATGTCAGATTGCTTTCCTTTCTTCACTGTTATAAATAAAGCTATTATTAGTAGATTTTGTGCATATATCGTTGTCCAGTTTTTGACTATTTCATTAGGATATATTCATATAGGAAGAATTATGGAGTAAGACATAGGGCACATGCCAAATTTCTTTCTGGAAAAGCTATACCAATTTCTAATCCCTTTAGCAATATGGAAACATATTTTACTGGTTTTCATTGGAATCAAATTTTTTTATTTATAATCTTACTGCTAATTTAATGAGCAACTGAAAAATTTACTTATGACAGAAGCACTGTAATGCAGTGCTGCTGATTTTTAGTGCCATTTTTTTCAAGTTAAGACTAAAACCTATTTTGTAGGTAAAAGCAAAATTTATTTTTTTAAAAAGGCAAAGAAAATCTGAGTGGAACCAGAATAACAAACTAAAGGTGCTATTTTCATTGCTGTTGGCTGTGTAAGGTGTGGTATGGATTTCTTTCCTTTGTTATGAACAGTAGGTTTTAGAATATATTCACTTTCTGCTCAGCTTCTTTCACACTTTCATTTTCTAAAAGTAGACTTAAGAGATAAAAATAAATTTTACTTGCTTAGATGAAAAATATGTTAAGAAAAATTTATAGATGATCTAATAACATGTAGCTTTTTGGTAAATATAAATTGAGACTAGCTTTGAAGTTTAAAATATATAAAGCAGTAAGTTCAGTGACCCAAGTAGTGTTATGCATTAGCTCAAAGAGAAATCTATGATGTATTAAATCTGTTTCTGATTTTGAAAAATTTGTAGTTACAAAATCTAATTTACTTAACCCATAAAATAAAGGCTGTGTTCATGGATTTGCTGTGCCATTCCCCATGTAATATTTGTAAAGCAAATGTGAATTTCCTTCCTAGTTCTCACCCTGAAGGAGATAATTCTGATAATTAGAGAAGAGGTATACTACCGTATGTATTTAATAAATGTTATACGTAATTATGTTTTTTTCATGTTTTGTTTGAATGTCTTGTATACACCTAATGTTCCTTCCCCGCTTTTTCTTCTTCAGTATAAAGCCCAAACAAGATACACCTATCAGTGATAAAACACAATTCTGGGGAGGCTTAAGAAATTGGGATATGAAAGATTTGCTGGAATGTGTCTGTTGACATTCTCTTCTTGCTACTATAGGTTAATGTTTCTTTGACATTATACCTCAACCAAACTATTACACACATAGCATTCTTGATACTTCCTTCTATCCTCTACTCTAAAATATCCTACAACAATAACATTTATTTCTTCTTCTGTGTTTTTTATTCCTGAAGAACTTCTACTCAATACTGATTATATCAACCTTGGTTTACCCCATTGGAGAGCTGTACTTTGTCTCCTAGGATATGCCAGCTTCAATTAACTTTAAATGGTCTCAATTTTTGGCTTTTGATTAATTTGATTTTCAGAATTTTGCTTTGGCAGGGTATGAAATAGGTGGTAGTGTGGTGTAAACTAGAATTTGATTATCTTTGCATAGTAAAAGTTTATTTATATAGTGAAAGATTATAGTTTGTAATAAAAGTTTTATTTAATAAAAAGTTTTCAAGATTAAATCCTTATTGCTTTCTAAAAATGGACTATGGTCTTTTGAGGATATAGTTTTTCTTTTGGAAGAAAATGGGCTTCTGCTTGTCTTTGAAGAATTGTAAGGCCATTTAGATAAATGAGTCTAAGCTAGCATTCAGAAAAAAAAAAGATCATTTAAAAGAAAGAAAGTAATACTAGAAATAGCAAAATCAAATCTGTTACAATGAATTATTCATGACTAACTTGTCTATAACTTTATTACTACAGGAGAAGCTAGAGATTTTATCTTTGGACATTATTTTCTAACATGACAACATCAATACTAATAAGCCAATATTATTCCACAGTGAATCCCAGATACTATGATTCCTTAAAGATTGTTTATGGCCCCAGGCTTAAACAATCCTAACAGCTGACTGATATTTGCTAAAAGTGCTGAGGAATGTAGACTCCATTTATATAATTTAAATTCTTGGTTTTGAAATAAAATATTTCTTGAAAAACTTAATGTGCTGTATGAGTTTGCCTTTCATCAAAATATATCATGGTTTATTCTAAAAATTAATGAAATGACAGCAGCTTGAATTATTTTGAACTCTTCTACTGAACCGTGTATTATGTGATACACATTTTCCCATTTGTTGTGAGTATATGTCTGTCTAAAGAGGGTATTATGGATAGGTTTTAAAGATAAGGAAAGAGAGAATAATATAGTTGAAGGAATATTTAACAAGTATTGGGTTCATTATTGTAAAGTGTGTCTATAAGTCAATGACTTTTAAAGTAACATTCAAATTTAGAGGAAGTTAGTTTCTGGAGGTTACATGTTTAATGTCTCAGAGGATACATTTTTAAATATTTGTGACCAGTACTATAAGGAAGTAAACACATCTTTTGTTTACATAATTTTAGATGAGTAGAGAGACATACTTTCAATAAACTTGTGTTCATGGAGTGCTCAGGAGAACCAATAATTGATGAGTGCTTTTGGTATCACTGTAGGACACATAGCATTGTAAGCTTTTTGAGTTCAATTTAATTCTATTTAAGTTATATTCTGGCTGAAGTTCAGTTTATAAAAGTTCAGTTTCACACGGAACAGTTCAAGAAGTTTTCATTAAAAAAAATGATTTATTTATGACGTTTTAATGGGACAAGATGTTAATCAAAAGTTTATCTTAGAGTTTACTGATAAGTAAGAGGAAGAGTCTAGAAAAGCCCATGCAATAATATATTAGACTTGGAGACTTTAGCTTAATATAAATACAAATGATTACATACAGCAATGTTTATAGATAGGTGTATATATAGGGGTTAGTATACATACATGTATTTCCTTGTCCTGCCAACTGAGAGGGCCTAGAAGCAACAGACATTAGTAGTGGCCATATCTTGGTTTCTAACACCATTCTCTAATTTGAAAAAAAACAGGGATCCTTAGAGAAATAGGGCTGGTTATAGGATTGGGGCAGGAAATGTGTGATGTGAAGCAGTTGTAATGCCAGAAAATAAGGAAATGCTTTTTTAAAATTTGGAAAATAAATACCCATGAGCCCATATTAAATACATAAATAAATAAGATAGAATAGACAAATTTCCTATACAGAAGAATTCTAAATAATTTATGTAGATACTTAACCCCCAAGGAGGTACAGCATAACTCCCTACTCCTTCAGTGTGTGCTGTGCATGGCAATTTCTGTACAGAGAATACAGTATGTCAAGAGGGAAAAAGAGTAACTTTATAACAGAGAAACCTGACAAACCTTCTTCAGCCAAATCCAGGTCAACAGCAACAGTTATATATCCTGTTCATAGTATATATCCTCTGAGGTCCTCCTCCCCACAACAACTCTATAAGCCTATTCTTTTTTTTTTTTTTTTGAAACAGAGTCTCACACTGTCGCCTGGGCTGGAGGGCAATGACGCAATCTCGGCTCACTGCAACCTCTGCCTCCCGGGTTCACATGATTCTCCTGCCTCAGCCTCCCGAGTAGCTGGGATTACAGGTGCATAAGACCACACCCGGCTAATTTTTTGTATTTTTTGTAGAGATGGGGTTTCACTATGTTGGCCAGACTGGTCTCGAACTCCTGACCTCATGATCCACCTGCCTCATCCTTCCGAAGTGCTGGGATTACAGGCGTGAGCCACCATGCCCGGCCAAGCCTATTTTAATCATGAGAAAAACATCAGACAGATCTCAGTTGAGGGACATTTTACAAAATACCTGACCAGTACTCCTCAAAACTGTCAAGGTCATCAAAAAGTTTGAGAAACTGTCACAGCCAGGGGGAGTCTAAGGACACAAAATGACAAAATGTAACATGGTATCCTGGATGGTATCTTGGAACAGAAAAAGGGACATTAGGTAAAAACTAAGGAAATACGAACAAAGTGTGAACTTCAGTTAATTTTTTTAAAGTTAATTTTAGCATTTTTCTTGTATCAGTAGGCTTAGCATGGCTAACATTGGGTATATGTTGTAGTTTTACATTTAACATTGGGTATATGTTGTATATATATACAACAGGGGTTACAGGGGGCAGGGACTTATGATAATGTTGAATAACAAAAATAGCTAACACTATGCAGAGCATACTATAGACCAGGTACTTTAAAAAATATATGCCTTAAATTACTTATTTTTAAAATCAACTTTTTGGTAGGTATTACTATTTTCATGTTAGAGCGGAAAAAAATGAATGTTTAAGTAACTTTAAGTAGCAATACCCATCCTCTGGGCCTGTAGTTTTAACTGCTAGGCTTTACCGAGTTATTCTTGGACTCAGAGAATAGTTGTTTTCGGGGAGGTTGCAGGGAACAGTTCCCCTCTTACCAGGTTCAACTTCTGCCCAGATCTATAGGGTATAAAACATAATAAAAAAGGTTTCTTTTATATATATATTACATTACATGAGGTTGGAAAGTTTATTTCCTTAGATTGTAATATGTAAATGATTTTATGCTGATTTTCCTAACTTTTTTAGTCTTTAATAGTTAAGATATTCTACAAATTTTCTGCAGAATGCTGGAATCTCTACCTCACTAGATTTTTGGTGACTGGTCAAATATTCTCCACCAATATACTTTAGTCAGAATAATCATTATTTAACATCTTTAACATCATTATTTAACATCTTAAAGGCTACTACTGTATTGTAGCTTTTAAAAGTATTCCTCTTTTTGTTGTTGTTGTTAGCCTGCCTTTATTTCAGCATTTTAATTTTGTTGGCTTTCTAATCCTCAAATAACAGACACAGTAACAGGCCTAAAAACATTAAATCAAGATTGTATGACAACTTGGGTGGGTGCAGTGGCTCATGCCTGTAATCCTAGCACTTTGGGAGGTTGAGGTGGGCGGATTGCCTGAGCTCAGGAGTTTGAGACCAGCCTGGGCAACATGATGAAACCCCATCTTTACCAAAATACAAAAAATTAGCCAAGCGTGGTGGCAGGCGCCTGTAATCCCAGCTACTCAGGAGGCTAAGGTGGGAGAATCACTTGAACCCAAGAGGTGGAGGTTGCAGTGAGCTGAGATCGCGCCACTGCACTCAAGCCTGGGTGACAAAGTGCGACTGTGTTTCAAAAAAAAATTGTATGACAACGTATGCAGAAAGAGATCAAAATGTGCAATCCTGCAGACTTTTGTTGTGCTTTTCTTCCACCTAGAAATAGTATAAAGTTAGTTCTCAACTTCTTCATTTTCCAGAGCCCAACTGACAATGAGCTCAGTTTTATTATTTTCGTGAAAATTATTTTATATTTACATAATTGCAATCCAAGTAGAGGTGATGCTAATAGGCAGAGACAAATAATCTGCCTAGAAAAAAATGTGTTCTGTCCATTGAGGTGAATTATTTGCCCTTGGCTTGAACCTTTAGGGAGCCTGACGTGCACGGTTTCTTAATTTCCACATGGTGAGTAGTGATGGCCCCTAGTGAGGGTGTTGTTTACTTTGGGACACAGAAAAATAACCCAAGTGTTTCTTTGCAAATTTTATTGAAATTCTGTAATTTAATCCACAGTAGAGTAGTCTGTTATTTTATACCTGTAGCCCATGGCATCCTAAGTAGGGATGTGCCATGCACTGGCAGGTAACTAGGCTGTTACAGTTAACATTCTAAATGCAGCCACTACTTCTGTGGTGGTGCCTCCAAACTTTACTCATGCCGCCACACACAAAGGAAATGATGGTATTTGGAGAACAGCTTGGGTTAACTTGCAGCAGTGGCAATCAACTAAAGGTGCTGGCTGCCCCAGGCTCCTTTAGCCACCCTGAGGGTGGAAGGGATCAGCATCCTGGCACACCTATTACTTACTGTGACTTGTCAGCCTCAGCATTTTGTTCTGTGATACACAAGGATGTTTCAACCAGATGTACCTTGTTCCTACATCAACTTGTGTAAGACTTTGCAAAGTATTTGTGCTGAAGCTGGGATTATATAGACAACAGATAATTTTATGATTTCTTAAACCAATAATTTAGCTTGCTGTTGGCAACTCCCATTGGATAATTTAATTATGATGGTGGGAGAGTGTCTCTACAGGGGCCCAATAAATCATCTTTCTTCCTCACTTAAGTTCTGAATAAAATGAGAAAGAAAAGAAAGGCCCATATTTACCAGTAAGCTAAGTCACTCTTCTTACCCTGATAAGAGACAATAAGGCAATGAGAGAATGCCAGGGATTACATGATTGAGCTCCCCACGAGTCCCAGGAAGCAGCATAAATGGAAAAGAAGCATTTCCCCCAATATCATTAAAGGATTTGCCACATTAATTGTGGAAATCTGTGAAAAGTAAAATGCTTTATATAACAACAGAGAAACAGAGTATTACAAGAAACTCTTGCTAGAGCCTCTCAAGAAAAGGTGTGATTTCCCAAAACGGACCTCAAACTAAAGTTCCTCTATTTGGTGACTTAGGAAATTTATATATGTTAATAAAGTATTTGTGAAAAATTAGATTCTTAGCTGGTCTGAAGGGGATGAACGGAATGGTGAAGCTGATGAGTCACAGTAAGTTAACAGATGTGCCAGGATGCTGATCCCTTCCACCCTCAGGGTGCTAAAGAATCCTGGGGCAGCCAGAGCCTTTAGTCAATTGTCACTGCTGCAAGGTAACCCAAGTTGCTCTCCAAATACCATCACTTCCTTTGTGTGTGGCGGCATGAATAAAGTTTGGAGGCACCACCACAGCAGTAGTGGCTGCATTTAGAATGTTAACTGTAACAGCCTAGTTACCTGCCAGTGCATGGCACATCCCTACTTAGGATGCCATGGGCTACAGGTATAAAATAACGGACTACTCTACTGTGGATTAAATTACAGAATTTTAATAAAATTTGCAAAGAAGGAAACACTTGGGTTATTTCTTAGTAATCTCAATTGATGGTTCATAGTCAGGTACAGGTTGGACTTTTTGTTCTGTTCTTTCCCCGCTGCTCACTGCTATGCCTCAGTAATCTTTAAACAATTTTTAGAAATGTTTTAAAGAATTAGATTGTTTTTTTTTTAGACTGAGTCTCGCTCTGTCGCCAGGCTGGAGTGCAATTGCAGGATCTCGGCTCACTGCAACCTCCGTCTTCAGGTTTCAAGCGATTCTCCTGCCTCAGCCTCCTGAGTAGCTGGGATTACAGGTGCCCACCACCACGTCCAGCCAGTTTTTGTGTTTTTAGTAGAGACAGGGGTTTCATCACATTGGCCAGGCTAATCTCGAACTCCTGACCTCGTGATCCACCCGCCTTGGCCTCCCAAAGTGCTGGGATTACAGGCGTGAGCCACTGCACCTGGCTAGATTTTTTTCTATTTTGAGTTTACAGTTTTAAGCTTAGGAAGCACAAATATTTTAGAAGCACTATTATTTGTAGATAAATATCAATTTTCTTAATATTATAAATTCCAAAAAAAATTAGATCTTCAAAAATATATAAACTATGAATTTGAAATGAGGGGCTAGATGAAATGCTAAGTATTCAGGAACATTTAGAATAATTTCCAGAAGGTCCATTTTAAGTAGAAAAGTGTGGAAAGTAAGAGCTTACATTTTATATTATATTATACCATTTATATTGACTTAAACTCTTCAAAAGGAATTGGTTGGCATTTGCCATATCATATTCACCTTAAACTCAAGGCACTCTGCCTATTTTCTGGCATATGGTCAGTGCTCAGCAAATGATGTTCCTCTTCCTTTCTCCATGTGGATTAACTATTTATTAATATATAGGCTGAAGTATTAGGCAGATAATGCTATTAAGGAAAAAGAAGATTAAATATAAATCTGAGATATTTTTGAGAACACAGCATTTTGAAAAAAAAAATTTAACGCCCACTTCTGACCACGGATGGTGGCTCATGCCTGTAATTCCCACATGTTGGGAGGCTGAGGTGAGAAGATCGATTGAGTCCAGGGTTTCAAGACCACTTTTGGCAACATGACGAAACCTGTCTCTACAGAAGATATAAAAAATTAGTCAGGCATGGTGGCATGCACCTGTAGTTCCAGCAACTCAGGTGGCTTCGGTGGGAGAATCACCTGAGCCCAGGAGGTGAAGGCTGCCATGAGCTGTGGTTGTGCCATTTCATTCCAGCCTGGGGGACAGAGCAAGACCCTGTCTCAATAATAATAATAATAATAATAATAATAATAATAATAATAGCCTACTTCCAACTTGTATGGAGAAATCAGCTGTGTCCCACAGTATCTCCGAAATCATTTAGAAGCTTTTTACCATTTTGAAATATACATTTTAGTACTACTGTACTTTAAAAGGCCTAATTTATCACAGTCATGTTATAAAGCCTATGATTAGATTCTCTTGAGATTGAGTTTTTCTTTCATAATTTGCCCTTGCTCCTAAAAAATGGAATATAAATTAGCATATTAGTTAGGATGGGATAGGTTATTCTGTAGTAACAAACAATGCCCCCCCACCCCCAGTCTATTTGGATTGGTATGACAATAGTTTATTTTTCCCTGAGGTTACAATTTCAATACAGATTGTTAGGTTTCTCTGCTAATTGTAATTACTAAGAAAACTAGGTTGTCAGAAGCTTCATTTTAACATATACTTCCATTATGACTTTAACAGCAGGAATAGAATACAATGAATCATGTACAGTGCTAGCTTCTAAAGCTTCTGTTCACATTCCATTGGTAAAGTAATTCACTCAGCCTCACATGATTTCAAAGAAGGAAAGTATAATCCTACCATGTGTCCAAAAGCAGGGACCAGAAATATTTGAAAACAGCATTCATCGTGTACCACAAATGATTATTTGAATGTTTACTTTTTTTTTTTTGCTTTGAAAACCAAACTATCTTAGAGTTGGTCCCTGACTTATGCTGGTTCTACTTAATAATTTTCAACTTCATGATGGTATGAAACCATCCCTGACTTATGATGGTTTGACTTATAATTTTCTGATTTTAGGATGGTGCAGACCTGCCCAATTTCAGATTTTGAGTTTTGATCTTTGCCCACAGTGCAAAGATCAAATGCAGTAGTTGAGATATTCAACACTTTATTATAAAACAGACTCAGGGTTAGATGATTTTGCCCATCTGCAGGCTAATGTTAAGTGTCTGAGCATGTTAAAAGTAGGCTAGGCTAAGCTATGATTTTCGGTAGATTAGGTGTATTCAGCAACGATACCTTCAAATTACGATGGCTTTAGCAGGATGTAAACCCATTGTAGGTCAAGGAGTATCTGTATTTTTATTTAATTTTCTTTGTGGTTTATGGTATATAGTTCACCAGTTTGAAACAGTATATTTACAAATTAAACTATATAGTTTATTTTGCTCATCTTTTTACTGTCTCTAATGTAAAGCAGTTTGAGCAATCAGATAAACCTTTTACTTATCTGATTGTGTGACATTTAAATTTTAATAGTCGTTAGTATTACATTGGATGACTTTTTCATTTTACATATGTAAATATGAGCATCATCTTCAGTTCTTAATTCCTAAGTATTTAAACCTCAAGCAGTTTGTCACAAATTTTCTGATAGTAGATCTTCTAACCATGTTGAGTATTATTTTCTTAAATACCAAAATATTTTCTGACATATTAAAATATTAACTATAGAGTTTAAATTATGATATATTATGTAAATTATTAAACTAAGACCCTTAAAATTATTATTTTTCACCTGAGGGAGCCATGCTGGTTCAGAAGTGTTCAGAGTTCTGAACATGTTTATACTTATATGTAGCCAAATATTTTACATGGAAAGAGTGATCAATGAACAGGCAGCAAAATATTAGGTTATTTATTGTTTATTTTGAGTACAACAGTAACATGATACAACAGAGCTCTTAAAATGAGTGTTATCAAAAGGATGATAGTATTAAGAAAAGAACACTTTTTATTATCCACTGAACGCTATTAATGTTCAAATTGACTCTTCTGTTAGTTGCCTTGTTGGAGCAATCTGAGCTGCTAAAAGGACTCTTAAACATGAGTTGGTCTCCTTAAAATTCTTTGAACTACTGGGATGGCAGCATTAGATTAAAGCAGGGAATTGAGCACTAAAAATGTCACATGGAGTTTCGATACTGAGTACCAATTCTACCACCTATTCTCCATGACATATTAAGCCCTCTAAATTTATTTTTTCTTCTGTACAGTACGAATAATAATAATATGTGCTCTTACCCCCATAGAGCTCAAATAAAATACTGTTTTATAAACTGAAGTTTATCTTTCTGACTAATAATAAAGGATACAATTAAGACATTGATCAGTAGTCCACTGCTTTTAATTTTTTATGTAAATGATCAATAAATCTTCCATTTTAGACCTTACATCTTATTTTAACAAATAGTAAACATTCTGAAATAGATAACTTTGAATAATTAAATATTGGGCAGTTATTTTAAAATAGTAGCTTTGCCATTTTTTCTTTTCTTTTCTTTTCTTTTCTTTTCTTTTCTTTTCTTTTCTTTTCTTTTCTTTTCTTTTCTTTCCTTTTGAGATGGAGTTTTGCTTTTGTTGCCCAAGCTGGAGTGCAGGGTGTGATCTCGGCTCACTGCAACCTCCACCTCCCGGGTTCAACTGATTCTCCTGCCTCAGCCTCCCGAGTAGCTGGGATTACAGGCGCGTGCACAACTATAGCTTTGCCATTTCTACAGTTTTACTGAAGAAGGCTAAAATGCTTAATTTCTAAAAAACACATATTTAAGTAATACAGAATGGGTAATAACTGCAGAGAACATATATGCAATTCTATAGAGAGACAATAAAGTTGTTAAAGTGATGAGATTTTCGCAAATTTTACTGTTTAAAAATTTCTATTTTAAATTATCCTATTGTATAGAAAAATGAAATTCTAGAAGTTGTGTGTAAACATTATTTACATTTTTATTCAAAATCTTTTGACATAGGACTTGATTAAAGTATTTTAAAGTAGCAAAACATTATTCTTTACATATGTATATGTTTCTATCTGTATTCTATATGTGTTTATGTCTGACACTGGGTACTTTCTGTAGAGTGGTGGGTTTCATTTGCTTTATAACCAAAGATTAAGGTAAAGTGAAACTTGTACCTTCAAGACTTAGCCAGTTTAGCTGGATTCAGAAACCAACTCAGCCCTCTTTGGTGGTGGATCTAAACTAGATACCATGTAAACTTACTGTTAGCTGTAATTTCAGAGGTTGCAATTTTTTGAATTTTTACATGTGTGAAAAGTTAGACCTTGGTAATGACTTTGAGCAGTAGCGTATAAATAACTCGTACATGCTTAGCGTTCCAATAATGGAACACTAGGCATAATACATGTTGAATTGACCTGAATTGATTTCCCTGACATATGACCCCGTTCGCTAGTAAGGTTCTAAACCTCACCTTTTATTTTCTTAGCTTGGAAGAATGCTCTGCACATAGATTCAATGAATGTTTATAGAATTAGTGAGTGGATAAATGAATGAGTCACTCTGTTAATCAGTACAGGCAATGGTAGATTGAGGAGGATGCGATTGATGAAGTTGGAAAAGAAAAGAAAGGAGAGAGATCAGGGATATTGCTTTAGGGCATGTCATTCATCAGAAGAATTTTATTTTCACACCTTTTAAGATGAAATTTTGACAGCATCTTTAGAATGTATTTGAACATTATAAACGTAAAAAACTTCAGGAATGCTAATTGCTAATATGATACTATGATATAAATTTGTCATGGCATAGGAGGAAAACAATTGTTGTTGCCATTGCTGTGTGTGACAGGCAGGAAAAACAATAGACATGTTACTTGGCAGCAGGCTGAAACAGCATCATTATCACCCTACAGTTATGAAACCTCTGAATTGGAAAGGATCTTAAAGGTCATCCAGTCCAACATCCAGCTTGACAGATGGCCACCTACCTAGCTTCATCCTAACCATTTCTACTCATTGTTACTTGTTGTGGTAACCAGTTGTATAGATGAATAATCTTAGCAGTTACAACACCCCTCAAATCCAGCAAAAATGTGGTTCTTTAAAAGTCAGTGTCCCTACTTGAATACTCAGAAATTACATGAAATATTCCTTAGGTAGAATAGTATAGAGAAAATGGAATAAGACTTGGTATGTGAAGATTTGGATTTCAATCACAAATCAGCTACTTGTTAATTTATTCTTGGTTAAGTTATTTAATTCATTTTACATATATATAAGATGGGGTTGTTATAGGGATCAAATAGATTATTTATATGATAGGATTTTGCAAACTGTAAAATGCTATGAAGTTCCCTTTTTGACAGCCTTTTGTATGTTGATAACAGTTACTTTTTTTATTTGGCTGTCCCCAGAATTTCTCTTCTGCAGGTGTAAACACAGTTATATTTTGTAGTGTGATATGGTTTCGTGCAGAGGGCAGGAGACACATTAGTGCCATGATGTAGTGAAATAGAAAACAAGGCTTTTATTTTAAAGCAGACATGGTGCAGACAAAGTACCCTTGATCCTCTGAGCAACCATCACCCCCAGAGAAGCAAGCTTAGGCTGGGTATACCCAGACTGCATGCACCAAAAGGCTCCTCCAAACCCTGTTGTGTCTGCCACAAGTCCATGTTTATATTTGTATGATAAATAGTATATTTTTTTTGCTCAAAGGGTATTGCCAATGAAATGATCATTTGATACTAGTCTATAAAGCCAAAAAAGAAAAATAATTTAATTTAAAACATATCTTCCAAAGAAAAATGAGCTAGTTTATCTCATTAGTAGTTAGCCTCTCCTCATCCCTGGCTTTTCTGCCTGCATCTTAAGAGTAAATAAGTCAATGGGAATAACTCCCACCTTGAGTATTTGGGAGCAGTGGAAACCCAGATTGGGAAGGGGAGGAGAGAAAGGAGGATAGAATTCTCAAAGCTGTTTATATGGTTGAGCCTTGCCACACAGTAGGTACCATAACATGTAGTTAATCAGTATCACTTCTGGAAGCTCTTCTTTTTTCTCCTAGGATGGAAATAAGGGGTTCAAGTGGCCACACTGTGTTATTCTACAAGCCATTCAACTGCACAGAGAGGCCAAGACTATTAGCATCATTGAGCCTGGGCATTAACCACACATAAATACTCACAGCTTGATAATACACTTTATCTCTTAGGGCAAAGCCCCACCGATGTAGATCTTTTAAGTAATTGTGTGAATTGCGGGGATTGGGGGAAGAATCTCATCAGAAGTTTGAAGGGAGTTACATTGAGTTTATGATTTAATTTAGAAAGAACTAAACTCTATTGAGTCTTCTCATCCAGGTCCTTTTTTTGAGGTTAAAATATTGGTAAATTTGCTTTACTCTGCAACATGTAACATGATTTATTTTTTCTTTCTAAAAACTTTCTTTTTCCTTAATTTCTGTAATACTCTTACTGGTATTTTTCCAACGTTTGGCTGTTCTCTTTTGTTCTTTGTAGGCAACGTTCACTTATCCTCTCCACCTGAAATCTGTACCTTTCAGTCTTTTCCCACTCACATATTTAGATGCCCAAATGCTCGTATTAATAATTTTGCAACTAAGGCAAGGTTAATTTTGCATTAGTTGGTGCAGAGGAAGACTTTTTCCATTAGATACTTGCTCTCTTGAGAAGCTTGCCCAGGAAGTATAGTTTGAAATAAAAGAGAAGTAAGATAAGAATGAAGTCAAGCAAACTGCTTTCCTGTATATTCACTATGTTGTTGAAAGACATGGCTATCAATCACATATAATGAAGCCAGAAAACCTGGAAGTCATTTTCAATTTTCCCTCTTATGTTCCTTTTTCTTCATCAATCACAAAGTGAAATGGACACTAATTTATAAATATGCCACATCTGTCTTCTTTGCTTCATCTCCGTTTCTACTGTTCTAGTTCAGGTTTTCATCCTTGTTTGGATTACTACTTTTTATTCATCCATATGCCTGTAGTTTCTCCAGTTCCTCTTTCCATGTAGTTAATATTTGACATCAAGTGTTCTCCGTCCCTACCCTTACTTCTGCTTTTATACAGCTTATGGCTGGCTAAATCATTGAATTGTTAGTGCGGAACATAGCCTCTGGAATATGGTGCACATGCAAATATTTTTGAATGATTAAGCACTGGAGACAGAGCAGGAGTCAGTATTAAGAACTCTTTAAATATCCTAATGTCACTGAATTCTGTGCCTTTTTTCATGGAACATCAGACATTTTTCTTATTGGAAAAAGTGTTCAATTTTTTTTTCTAGCCATGTAGAACTTTTTCTCCTGGGTTGGTTGGTTTGTTTGAGTCCTACTCTTTTACCAGTTACTTGTGAACAGTGGTCTTGACTTCTTTTCTCCTTGGAATACCTCCATCATTTGACATAATTATTATAAATAATTGCCCAATATGTAATATGTGATTATTAGCATAAGTTTTCCATATAAACTAATAAAAAAGCTGTTACATGGTTTCACTATGAAAACAAACCAGAATGACCTTGTGAGAGGTAGAAATAAATCTTATTTTCTTTACAAAAAGTGCCTTCTAGCTCACCTGCACTATTTGCTGAGGTCAGATTAACATCAGCAGCACTAGCCCTTTAATTACCATCAAAGAGTTACTTTATTATTAATTCCCCCATTTAACATTTTTTTTTTATCTAGCAAACTGTGTTCATTAAAGTAATAAAATAGTTTCTTTCAAAATAAAAAAGAAATGAACATCAGCTGGAGCTTCTTGAATTAACAAGTGAAACCTTCGACTTAATTGCTTTATGTAAGTATGTGTTAAAATAAGTAAAAAGTAAAATATAGCAGTGTCATGGATAAAATTAGACTCAATTTTAGTACGCTCATGTTGAGTTGAATTTTTTTCCTTTTAATTTCTTGAAATACTAAGGACATGGTAAAACACATCATCATGTAGTGAAATAGAGCCAGGAAATTTGGTTTGAGGACTCTTGACGTATATGGTAAAAATTACATTATTATCAGCAGCATCTTTAAATTAAAAAGATTGAGGGATTATATGAATACCGTTTAGTGTTCATTTAGATTTTCTAGCAAGTGCTAATTTTTAAATATGTTAAACTGCAAGAAGATTGACTAGATATATTAATACGTTTCTAATCTTTATCGATAAGCTTTATTTAGTCAATTTGGCTTATTTGATTTTACTTCAATTCTTAAAGGTAGATAATACATAGTATCTTGTAGCCTGCTGAGCCTCAATTATTTTAGGGTCCGGATGAAGAGATAGTTATCTTTTTAGCATGCAACAAAAGCAGGGTGGGGCCTGGGAAAGGTAGCCCTCCATTTGTCCTAATGTGCAGTTTTATAATTGATATCAGTTTCTATGTTGTGTTGTCATTAAAAAGTTTGTGAAGCATTGCCTTCATTATCCATTTCCACTTTTCAAGGAGAAATTACTAAAACCAGTGTCTTGGTATGTTTCTAGAAATAGTCAATGTTTATATAAACATAAATGTATCTTTATATACATTTTTTCCACAAATAGTAACAATATATACTCTTTGATGTATTCTGCCTTTTCACTTAATAGCCCTGGAAATTGTTCCCTGATAGTACATACAGTGCTACTTTATTATTATTGTTTTTGCTGCATTGTGTTGTTTATTAAATGGATATATCATCTTTATTCACAAATGACAAATTTTTAAGAAATGTTAATAGCTGTTTAAAATAGATATATATTCTTTATATGATGTCTACTTTACCAAAGAAAACTTTCAAAACTTCTTAAAATTGCAATTATGTCACTGGTGGTCACTTTCCACTGTTGTGGTTTTCCTAGATATCAATTTTCTCTCTTTGGCTGAACTATGTGTTTCTAGCAGGGCTTTTATTATACAAGCAGAATGTTTTTGATCAGATTGTATTTACATGACAGCCTGGAACTGTGGCATTCCCTCAAGTACATTGTACACATTTAAAATACTGTCTAAATATTTATTCACATGATGGATTACTGTGGCTGAGAAAAGGCAGTTACAACCTATTAAGTAAATAATTTTAGTTTTTAAAAATTTGGAAAAGCTTTGAAGGGGTCATAATGTCTCATCTCAGTTGTTAGAAATGGCCACCGAATACCATTTTTTTTCTCTAAATGGTATTTTAATTCTTATTTGCTAAAGTAACTAAACAAAAAGGGAAACGGGAAAAATGTAAACCAGTTGTCTGCAGGTATAGACTTTCCTTCCCCCTTCCCATGGTCAGATACCATCTCCTCATCATGAATGAGCAAATAGGCAAAATCATAATTAAACAAACAAAGGAATACTATGCTAGCAAAATTTTAATCTTCCTGGAGGTTAAAACAAAATTTCAAGGATATACAGCTGAATTGCAGAAATATTTAGCATAAGTAGTTATATTTCACTCAAATTTTCATAATGAATTATGATTTTCGTAAAAATAAAAATGACTATTTTTGTGAAACTTCTATTTAAGAAGTCATTGATTATTTTTAGGTCAGCTTGAAAATTGGACACTACATACTGTTTCTGTTTTTTCAAAAAGGAGACAAGGTTTTTGTTCTTAATCATAGAGAATTTATTTAAACTTATGTAAGAGAGAGAGAATTTGTGTGTGTGTGTTATTTTCTTTGTTCAATCATATGGTGCCATGTTCTTTTATTTATAATTCAGACATTATTTGAACTTTACAAACCTTTTGCATTTATTAGAGATCAATTTGTTACATTTTAAGAAAGTGAGAAAAATTGTGTTTTATTTCATGCAATACTAAGTTTATCTAAACATTGTAGGTTTGTGATTGTAACATCTTTTGACAAGCAAGTTAGACCATAGAAAGAGCATCCAACTTGGAGCTTGGGGCATATGGTGCTACCTTCTGCAAATATAACACAAAAACAAGTCATTCCATTCAGTGAGAGGTTATGTTCAGACTTTAGTGTGGAAGGGAAAAAGTAGCCTCTTATCTAAAAGAAAATAGTAATCTCAGTGGAAAAATGTACCTGTCTAAATTGAAACTAAAAGTAAGAGAGACTAAGAAACTAGTGCACGCGATTTCATTATCTTCAAGATCTAAAACTACAGCTCGAATGTAAAAATAGTTAAGGAATATAAAGTAGCAGAAATCTAAGAAAGTAGTTATTTTGGCCATTATCCCAGCAAGTAGGATTATTAATACTATGAAGACTTACTATATAAAATAATAGTATAATTAAAATACAGTATCTGGTATCTTACAGTATGTGTGGCACAATGATGAAACAAATTGTTCCGACATTATCTATTGAATACATAATTTTTACATGTCAACATTCTAATTTTAGTTTTCTTATCTGTGACTGATAGGTAAAATAGTCTATTATGTACACATCTTAATATTTCAACATATGGATAAAGATGAGGGAAGATCTATTGATCAGTTTTGAATTCAGATTGTCATTTTGAGCACATACTTCTACAGATGGTAGAGTGTTTGCCCATCAGAGCACCAATACCTTTGAGACAGCTGTTGCAAATAAATCTCTTTTACATGCTTTAGGTCAAGAGTAGTCAAACCTGTTACAGCACCTGCTTTTGCATATGCAAATCTGTTGTTTTGTCATTTCATTAAACAAGAAGAGGTAACAGTCTCTTGTGGTTGTAAATAAGTCTGGAACATCGCCTACATGAAATGAAATCCAGCAAAAAGACAACTGTGATTTCTGTTGTGTAGTCAAGGGAGGTTGCTTCTGTTTGGGGCTTTGTTTTTGGAAGACTGCCCGTGATTTGGAGGGAGGGTAGAGAAGCAAGTGTATGTTTGGAGGCAAGAACAGGGAAGGTGTTTGCTGTCATTGACCGTAGGGTAGTTCTGAAGTTTGACATGCCCAGAAGCTACTGAATGCCATGTGGGGCCCCCATACACTGCGTACCTCAGTTTTCATCATCTGGTGAGCCTGCAGCAGGATTTCCAGGCACTGGAGTCGACAACATGTCTACTTTGGTTTGGAACTGATTGATCCACGGAACAGAACATGCCTGTGGGATCTTAACCTTGCTATAGAATGACATAAATGATTGAAATGTTTTCTTTAGGAAAAAAGTATTATTTGTTTATAGATCTTATTGCTTATGGGAAAGAAATTGTCAAATAGTAATGTAAGTAGAGTTTGCTGGAAACTTTCACATTAGATTTGTGAATTATTGTCTTGTTTGACTTTGGCATATTAGAAATAAAACTGGGAAAACACAATTAGGTTAAAGAAAGGGTAGAATAAATTTTTTCCTTATCTGTATCTCTTAAAAAGAGTAGTGCCATAAAATAAAAATGGCACCTCAGGATTTGCAAAATGACAGAAGATTTTACTCTCTGTTGCCATAGATTGCTGTGGGGGAAGAAAAGGAAAATACTAGAATTGATGAACAAATGTTGCATGCTGTCATTTTAGATTACATTATTTTATTGTGTAGTTGTTCCTAGTTTTCCTTTTTGAACAATAGTGAAAAATGCTTATGACGTAGAAAGTAATGTTACAAATCTGTTAGTTGTGTTAATTATGTTTAAATGTGTTTCTTCTGACATGGAGTTACTATGAGCAGAAATAAAAAATATTATTTTCTAGCATTGGGGGGAATTAAAAATTCTTTCCTGACCTTTTAACCTTGTCAAATGATTTCCCTGCTCTTGACATAGTGCATTATATTTGCAAAGGTTGGAAGTTAACTCTTGAATGTACCAGACATCATTTTTATTGGGATATTAATTCTCAGAGGTGCTAATCTCATCAAGATTTGTAGGCATTTTCTTTCATAGGCCATTCTGATTTGTAGCTCTTTCTTTTCACAGCAGTATTAAATACCAAACCTTCTCTGATATGGAAGTTCATTAGAGATATGTCTTTGATGGCAGCCCTTTCCTGGCTTCAGTTTCAAATACCTTGATGTAAAGCTTAAGAAGCCATTGTGTTGTAAGCCCTCCTTGATGTGCCTTATTTAGATCTGCATAGTAAATCAAGGAAAGTAAATAACAAGGCAGCAGATGGAAGCATGGAGATAAGACCAGTGAACAATTGTATTTGTATTTTGTTATGATGTTGACAGGAGCTAAAATTCACTAATCTAGTTCAACTGATCTGCATTTCAAAGAAATCTCATTTAGCAGCAACTTGAAGGTTTGTAGGATAAAGTTCTTTTATTGCAGCTTTTATTGCATTCTTTGCTAATTTATCTGGTCAAGATTTAGCCTTGCTTACTTAAAGCTGCAAGCATGTTACAAGGAGTCTTAAATACTATGAAAGCATTAATGTCTAGACTATGAACTGAAGGTAATTACATATCCAGCCTTGAATAGGGTACATTTAGAAAATACTGTTGTCCAAACTCAATTGTCAGGGCAATATAGATAAGGTGGGTTTTTTTTTTCCACCTCTCCTGCCTATTTGCTCTGAGATTTTTTTCCACATCATAAACAAGCTAATAAACAATCATCAACTACTCAGAAATTATTCAAAAAATAAGTGTAAGTACATCTCCTTTAAGTATGAATCCATTGATGCTGATACTTGTTGTGCCTTTTTGAGAATGGAAGATTATTAGTTTTATAGTTTTGATACCCTTATTTGACTCTACAGTTAAAAATGTGTAAATATATAAGTGAAATGGTTAATGTGAACTTCAAAGTGTTATAAAAAGCATTGTCTGTGGACAACTTATACAAAGAATATTGGTATGTTCTACTTTTGATTAAATATATTATTTAATGGAAATTAGTATTTCAAAATGTGTTCAAAGAGATTAAATACTATATGTGTATATTTATATATAAACTGAATAGTGAGTAAATTTGGATTTCCAAAAGAAAAGACTGCTGGATTTAGGACAGTTATCCTGAGGTCAAATCCTGTCTCTGCCATTTATACCCTCTGAGATTCTGGGGAAAATACTTCTGTGAATTTCTTCTGTAAATTGTGGGGGTTGAACCAGAGTCTCACTAAGTCTTCCCAGTTAGAAGATCCTTATCATTCACTGACAATCTACGTTATGTCAGGTACCAATCTTGACCCAAAGATTATGTAGATAAGTTCTTTTCCCTAAAATAACTCATGTAAGTATTCCATTTTCTAAAATTGGCTGCTAATACAGTTATTAATAGAATTTAGAAAATGACTTAGTACTCCTGTTTCTGACTCTTAACAACTACTTGGATGACCCTATATATGTTGGGTATTGTAAACCAAAAATAAAATTATAAGACCCCCAACTGACTGATGGACCCACCTCTCATCCAGGAAGGACATTCCAAAGTAAACCTGAACATCTAGTTCAAGCCATGATGGGAAGGGGGATCAGACATGCCTCATTATATCCTCTTCCTTTGGAATTCAGGCGCAGCTGTTCAGCATTAACATTAAAACAGAGATCTTAAGACTGACAAAACAGACCCTGTAGCAATAAGACACCAAATTCCAACGTGACTCTAGTATAGCATCACATGACAGATAGCAGACCCTTAAAATAATTAAAGTGTTTTACCCCAAAATATATTTCTTTGACATATTTTGAAATGGCCCTGGAAAGCTGTCTCTTGTGAGGAAAAGCTACATTCTACAGGGAATCCCTTTTCAGGTCTTTTCCCTGATGCAGGAGAGAATTAGCAAGGAATCTGGCACCATTTTAGGTCTGATAATGTTAGCAGTGGAAAGTGTCTGTGTCATGTGGCACGAAAGTATTTTAGCAGCAAATCTGTATGGGTCTGCAACAACCTCAGTTCTTACCTCCTCAGAAGAAAGAATTTGATTGAGGGGCATAAGGCAGGAGACACCGAGGCAAGTTTTAAAGCAGGAGTGAAAGTTTATTAAAACGTTTTCGATCAGGAATGAAAGGAAGTATGCATAGAAGAGGGCCAAGTGGGTGACTTAAGAGATCAAATGTGCGGTTTGACCTTTTGACTTGGAGTTTTGTATGTCAGCATGTTTCTGGGGGGTTGCATCCCTTCTCCGCTGACTCTTCCCTTGGGGTGCACTGTCTGTATGCACAGTGGCTTGCTAACACTTGGGAGGGGAGCATGTGCAGTGTGTTTACTGAGGTTGTACCCATGTTCACTTGAGGCGTTCTTCCCTTACCAGTCTGAGTATTACTAGAAAGTCATACACCAGTTAACCTGTGCCATTTTGCCTCTTAATGCACATGCTTCCTCCCACTCACCCAACTCCTGAGATCTTATCCAGAAGCTGCTGATCACCAGTTTTAGTTTTTTTCTATCAGGAGACTGCCTTTTCCTGGTGCTGTCTGCCACCAGTTATTTTTTTACAGAGACAGTTAACAATAACTTGAAATGTTATTGGTTGCCTGACATTTTTGGTGTGTGTGTGCATGTGGGAGAAGAGCTCTCTCCTGCTCTGCTCATGTCTGACTAGCTACCCACTGTAACAGTAGGAGTTCTGAAGCCAGCTACCTGGAGGCTTCATCTGCATGATAAAAGATTGGGTTTCACAGCCCCTTATCTTAACCCAGATATTCCTTTCTATTGATTCCAGTTCTTCAGATAATAACTCTTTCAACCAATTGCCAATGAGAAAATCTTTGAATCCACCTATGACCGGGAGACCCATTCCCACTTTGTGTTGTTCCACCTTTCAAGACCAGACCATTGTATATCTTACATGTATTGATTGATGTCTTATGTCTCCCTCAAATGTATAAAACCAAGCTAAGGTCAACAACATGTCCTCAAGATCTCCTGGTGTTGTGTCACAGGTCATGGTACTCATATTTGGCTGAGAAAAAATCTCTTCAAATATTTTTCAAACTTGACTTTTAGTTGACAGTATGCTAGTTTTAATCTTACTTTTCATATTGTATGTAGTGGGCCTTAGGAAAGACATTTATCTTATCATTTAAAAGAAATTGTCATGTAACATGATTTTCATGAAAAACAATCTTAAATTTTAATGTTGACTTAGAACTTTAAATAAGTTATTTAAAACCACGTGTTTTATTTGACTATCTCAGTATAGATTGTCTAGTAAGTTTTTTATAAAAGCCAATGACTTGGTTGGCATGAGACATATTTTTGACAGATTTATTTATTTGGAAATAATGGCAGTGATAATTATTTCTTGCAGTTGATGAAAACAAAAGATTAAGAAGGACTTAACATAACTGTCTTTGAGTTATACTATAGCTCTGCCTCTATCTTCCATACCATTCCTTGTCAAATGACTCAGTAATTTCTTCATAATAAAGTTACATTGTTAAGAAAAACACAGATGAATAATACATTCTCTATTTTCAAATAATTTTAAATTAAATGTTAGAAATCAGGTATGTGGACAAATGTATTACATAGTAGATTGCATGGACAGTTTTTAGAGGGGAGCTGTAGAGAAAATGCTATTTGAGTAGCTTATTCCTGGCTAAGAGAATAGGGGAGTATTTCATGGAGTTAATGGTAATTAAATTGAGGCTTGAAAGGTATGGTAACATTTGGACAAATAGAATTTGAATAGAGACATGCTAAGTGGAGCAAATTAAGACTCTAAAAAAATCAAAGCAAATATCTAATAGCTCAGTTTGATTCTAGAATGTAGAGATAAGTGAAACAAAGTAAAGGAGAGGCAAATTCAATCCTAAGAATGAAAGGCCTTAGGTTTTAGGCTAATAAGTTTTGTTTTATTTGGTAGGTATTCAGGAGCCCCTCCCTATCCTAGTTGATGCACTTGTAAGAAGAGGCACCAGGGAAATAGTTGGATGACTTGAAGTCACATATATTAAATTTAGGCATTAATGTGTTCCCCCACTTCCCCCTGTGCCAGTCTAATGTACTATAAAAACATATTATATATTTGCAAAAGGTATGTCTGGCATATTCTGTAAAGATAATGATGAGAGGGATGTTTGAAGACATTTGGTAGATGTGAGAAATATGAATTTGAAATTGTTATTGGAGTAAAGAGGGAAAAACTATCATTATAGTAGTAGGTGGAAGAGAGACTGCTTTTAAGATGCTTTCTAGAGACACTTAGTATTCTTTGGTATATATTTAAGAAACAATATTTAAGAAAACAAACAAAAAGACTTGGGATAGAACTGAAAATATATCAGCCATTATTTGAGTAAGAGTCAGAATCAGAATATTCAAGTGAAGATACTTAAGAGTCAGTGGAAGACAGCTGAGCAAAAGAGGATGAAAAATTGCATTTACTAGATGTTTTAAAGTGCTAAAAGTCAATAGCAAATATTTTGTCAAAATATAAGTGTGTTGTATAGCAAAATATATTTACTGATTGTTCAAAACTCAAACCAGACTTTTATTTGGAAAACATGTTGTACTTGGTTGTCAGGTCGCAGGCTAGCCCATCCATTTAACCCTCGTGTTAAAAAAGAAGGGAGTGGTCCATGTCCTTTACAGAGCTTGCAAGTATTATTTGTTGGTATTTATTTTTTTTTTAATATGAACTTAGTTGTTAAATCTTAAAAATTGGACTCTGTCTCACTCTCTCTCTCATGCACACACATAATGATTTACCAGTCTGTCTGGGAAATTCCGATTTGGCAAGACTAAACCTACATTCCTACAAAGCAGTAATGGCAGTAATTTTATGGGTCTTAAAAAAACACCTCTTTAGAGACTTTGCCATAGTACCATGAAACTTTCCTTTGTCCTGCGCCTTGCCTAATTAATATTTTTGTCTTTAGGTATTTTATTTTGTGACCCTTATGTTGTATGTGATATTTATCATATTATTCTTTCTGGTGATTGTTGCCTTGAAACCTAACGACTACATGCAAAAATTTTTGTAGTCAAAATAAGTTGGGATTACAAATGAGAGACCAGTAACTGATCACTTATTCTAGTGGGTTTAGATTCAGTCTGTTTTATGTTGCCTTGGAGTTTTCCGCAGATGTTCACTCCTTCCATAACTGTTGGTTGTTTCCTTGGTCTGAGAGCAATCCTATCAGATTTACATTCAGAAAAACAAATAACAAAAAGACTTGGGTTGGGTGTGTAGTATGGATTCAAGAGAGTTAAGAATGAAGGATAAGGGACCAGAAAGGAGATTGTATAACCAGTAGGTACTTTGAATGTGAAGGTTAGGGGAGGGTTGTGGACTGGATGTATATGTTCGAGAATCATTTGCAACAAGTAGTTGTTGATTCAAGAAAAAGAATACAAATTGGGACTAGAATGGTATCTTGAGGAAACTGACATGGTAGAGGCACATGTAAGAATAGTAACCCACAAGACTGAAAAACAGGGTTGAGAGTTAGGAGAGGAATTAAGAAAGAGTGGTATCATGCAAACCAAAGGAAGAGTTTTGAGAAGGAAAGAGTAAACAATGAGCTAAATGAAGCAGAGAAGTTAAGCAAACTAAGAATTAAGAAGTCATATTGGATTTTTCAGCTAGGTTATTCCTGTCCTGATAATAAAATGTTTAGTTTCAAGGATGTAAAGATTTACTAAACTCTGAGAACGTCTATATAAATTTATTAATGTTGAAAGAATGGAATCTCTTTCATTCTAATTCCAACAAATGATTTTTTTTTCATGTAACAGCATCATGGAAAGTAATGAAAAAGAAAAAAACAGTAATTTATTTATGAAAAGAAATAAATGATAAATGAATAATACACTAATGATACTTTGGATGAATGTGTAAAATTACCATCCAAACTGGGACACTTCTGAGAGGGAAAGGGATAGCTATTAATAATTGCAATAGGTATGAACCACATCTATCCCAGCTAATCCAGGACTAACGATCACTGGATTATAGTTCACATTTATTCAGTGCTAGCTATTGTAGGAGCCAAAGGGGCAAGTTACCCTTGGCCTTCTGAAGGTTCACCAAAAAAATCAACTTGCAAAAGACAGATTAATTGGAAAAAGGCATATAAACTTATTTAACATGTATACATAGGAGCCCTCAGCATGAAGATCCAAAGATACAGGGGAAGTTCTCTATTTTTATGCAAAGGCTCAACAAACTATAGACAGCTGTGTAGAAATATTGGAGGAAAAGTGTATGATTTAATGCTAATAGACTGAGTGGAGAACTCCAGCAAGGCCTGTCTGTCTAGATTCTCCCTGGTCTCTGAGCATGCATTCCTTCCTGGTACGGGGCAGGACTTTCCGGGGATCTGAAGACCTACAGTCAAATAGTATAGGTTAGATAATTTCTTTACAGCAAGTTATGGCACAGAAAGGTGAGGGAAAAATTAGAGTAATATTTTTAGGTTTTGACTAGCTTTGAGGAAAGGGGGCTTTGATTTCTAGGACTTCCCTTGAGGAGGAGGGATTCTAGTTTCTATGGCTAGCCTTGGGGGAAAATGGGACTGAGAGACAGGAGTGCAGAAGATCAGAGACAAACATTGCTTTCTGAGGCTACTTCTGAGGCCTTCATTTTGGGATATTGTTTTCTGAGCCCCAAAACTACCAGACAATAAGAAGAGTTCTTTATAGGTTTATCTCATGACTAGTTTTAGTTGACAACATTTGTAATTCTTTCTTTGTATATGGTGAATTCATTGACATATATACTCTACATAATTTTGGTGACTTAAATGTTTATTTAAAAAAAAGGTGCCCACTATATACCAAGCTCTGTCCTAAGGGATGGGAAATGAAGATGATTAATACATAGTTCTAGTTGTTAATGACTACCAGCATACTTGAGAGAATCTGCAAATGAAATTTTAATGTATTATAGTAAAGTGTCATGTTGATAGTGTGGTTTATGAAGACCTCAACTAGTATTTTAGCACATTATATACTATAATTATTAGGGTTAAGGTTAAGAAAAAGTACAGCTAGTTGTACATATAAATGGGATTTTCTCTATCATGAAAAGTATATTTTCTGTGTGTGTGTGTGTGTGTGTGTGTGTGAGTAGTTCAGTTCTTTATCACAAAGGGATGCATTTCCATATTGATAATGTAATTTTAGCCACACTAAAGCTATATCCTGTGAAGAAGAGTCTGGCATACTCCTCTGACACATCTGGTAGATATGGATGGCATTAATTAGCATACGTATTGTTCTAAATGACATGTCAGTCCAGGACAACAAAAAGTATTTGTTATTGATGTCAATCATTTATCCTTTGTCAATTCAAAAAGCTTCCCTAAAGGAATGTGCATTGGTCTTCACTGACCCAAAATACTGCAAAACCACTTCCGTGTTCTGGAAACTAAAGCAGAACTACTTGTGCTTGAACTGCCATGTGGATATATTCATCTAGAAAGTGCCTGTTGATAAGTTTCAGTACTAAGACTTTCAAATTTGGCCAAGATTAGTTGAATCTTTAGAAAAGAAAACAAAACACCTACTCTAATCCTAAAATCTAGTCTTCAGTGGATATAGCTTTAATCTTCAGTAATGAAGTTTATGTTTTTATTTCACCTTGAAATAATTTTGAGATATTCTAGGTAAATAATTGCGAATATCATTTACATTGGTTAAAAACAGAAGAAAATTGCACAAGTATCAATTTGTGATCAGATAGATGATGGTTTAAAGAGGTGCCCTTTTGCCCACATATATTTTACTTTTTGTATTTTAGCTATTCTGATATAGATGTTTTTTGGCTTTGTTTTAACTATTTTCTCACAATAGTTTTTTTTTTTAATAAATACCACCAGTATATTGTGTTAAGTTTATGAGCAAAAACTAACTTTAAAGTGCTATCATGCACATTTGCCCTAAACACGTGTATGTGTGTGTGTGTGCGTGTATATATATAATTTTGCTTTAAATGTTCCCCCTGAATTCCAGTTTATTATTTAGTGGAAGGGAGTATGAGTGACTTCAAGATAAGGCAAGGGGATGTGATCCAGGTAATGGCACATGTTGAAGACATTTATCTTTTTTTTGAGACAGGGTCTCACTCTGTTGCCCAGGCTGGAGTGCAGTAGCATGATCTCAATCTTGGCTCACTACAGCCTTTGCCTCCTGGGTTCATGCAATTCTTGTGCCTCAGCCTCCTGAGTAGCTGACATTACAGGCGCATTTCACCATGCCTGGCTAATTTTTGTATTTTTAGTAGAGACAGGGTTTCACCATGTTGGCCAGGATGGTCGTGAACCCCTGAGCTCAAGTGATCTGCCTGCTTTGGCCTCCCAAAGTGCTGGGATTACAGGCGTGAGTCACCATGCCAGGCCGAAGATATTTGTCTTAATTCTTAATTTTAATGATGCAGAAAATACCCATTATTGGAAACTTAGGTTTTGATAAAATTTGAATATAGAACAAATTCTCTTAAACTTATGAATGTTCATCTCACCAAAGGTCAGATATTCATCTATCACATTTCTGTGTTCTTGTAAAGAAAGGTGGGATGTGTTGCATTTTTACATCTTGTAAATTTGTTTGAGAATTAAGATGAAACCAGATTTAGAACATACCCATGTTAAATATGCTAGGATGTCCAATATACCTTGCTTCAGTAGCAGTTTCCCAACCTTTGTACCATTAAAAAAAATCTCATTCCAGATTTCTTGCTGTCTTACAGGCCCTGTACTGTTTCTGGTCTGTTTCATGTTCTTAAAATCATCTTTTTTTATTATTCCATTAAAATTTTTAAAAACATTTTTTCCTTTACACTTTTCTAATCATCCTGTAATTCTTCAGCCCTAAGACATTAAAAAAAATGAGTAAAAATATCTCATACCTAATCGTCTTTGCCAGTCCATTCAAACTCACGGATTTGCAAAATTATGTTAAAGTCTTTTAAAAAATACATTTGAGTAGGCTTTGTAGTCATTTAGATTTTGATTATTAATTTTCTCTTGCTATGCTGCTTAGCCATAAAAAGGAAAAAGAAGATAGATGTGGGTTTCTTTTAGTGGTGTTAATTTAAATACTAGATTTATTTATTATAATGTTTAACAAGGCAATTCTTATATTTCTGTTCACCTCATATCCAACAGAAAATAATAGGAAGCTTCAACCCCCCAGTACAGTAAGAAAAAAAAAACTGATGCGTTTTGTAATAATTGATTAAAAGTATAATTTCCCTCTAGATCAAACAAATAATAGAAGTCTGTTGAAGCTTTGTCCTGACCTATCCTGGAAGTAGAAGAATACTCTGGAGAAAGGAGCATTGTAAGCACAAAGAATAAGATTCCTCAATCCTGAGAGAGAGAATTAAAGTCTAACTCTCCAAATGTAAGTCATCTGTACTGTACATATTTTTCATCTCTCAGTTTTTATTGCTATTCAGGTTTTAGTAGAAATAATGTGCTGACAATATTGTTTGGATTTTTTCCTCTACAAAATATGCAGGTGTTTTGGTTGTAACTTCTAAGTTTTGATTTGTGACAATACTTACTAACATAATATAAAATGATACCTTACAATAATAATATTTAATGTAAAATAGATTAATATTAATTGTATTTTCTGATAGAGAGCCGTTAAGAATTTTGAGTATTCTGATGAAAAGAAGGAAATTTCCTTTGATATAGTATCTGCAGTTTTGCCATTATAATCTCTTTTTGCTCTAAACTTTGTTTTTTTTTCTTTTATATTTCTTCATATCTGAGAATAAGACTATCTTAATATGTCTGCTTGAATCTACCACCTGGTAAAAGATACATTAATTTCTTTATTCACTCCGTGTGGTGAAACTGAATTGAACTGAATTTTTATCCATAATCTGCTACACAAATATATCAATTTTGTCGGCTCAGTGTACTGGAAAGACTGATTCCCTATCTGTTAGGAAAAACTTAAAAGATATGTATTAATGATTATATAGAAACATAGAATTTTGTTGCTGTTCAGAAGTTGATAGAAGGAGGATTGAAGCTAATACTTGTCTTAGGACAATTACTTAGGAAGAAATCTCTTGTTCTTTGTGACGACTTTTATCTGGAATGTTACCTAGGGCATCATCCTTATGATAATGTGATATAATGGTTGTGATATACTGGTTTAACTGCCAGAAATTTGACTTTTACTTAATAATTGATCATTTTATTATTCCTCAGTAAAAGATCTCAATGATACATATTGTTTGGTCTTTAAAAGTTCAAATTCTACAGTAGAAAATGAAAACTTAATAAAGTTGACTACGGCTAAGTCATACATTGCATACAGTTATCTCCAAAATTGACAAGGTTTTCAATGCAATATTCTTATTGACATAGCATCTGATGGAGTGGTCCAAGTGGCCCACGGTGAAAAATCTACATAATTTCCAGGTTCATGTTTAATCTTGTTACGTGGTGCATTCTGATAGAGCCACCTAAACACTGGTCATTCCTGAAAATCTATAATTATAAATTAGCACAAACTGAATTTAGCAGTAACTATGCATAGAAAAGGAAGACTTTTTCGTTTTGGACTTAGATGTTCAGTTCAAAACTTTTTTTTTGTTTGTTTTTTTCGTTTTGGACTTAGATGTTCAGTTCAAAACTTTTCTTTTTTTTTTTTCTTTTTGAGATGGAGTCTCACTCTGTCACCAGGCTGGAGTACAGTGGTGCGATCTCGGCTCACTGCAACCTCCCCCTCCTGGATTCAAGTGATTCTCCTGCCTCAGAATCCCTGAGTAGCTGGGACTACAGATGCATGCCACCACACCCAGCTAACTTTTGTATTTTTAGTAGAGATGGGGTTTCACCATGTTGGCCTGGTCTCGATTTCTTGACCTTGTGATCCGCCCGCCTCAGCCTCCCAAACTGCTGGGATTACAGGCATAAGCCACCGTGCCCGGCCCAAAACATTTTTTAAATCATTGAACTAGATAGAAAAACCTTGAAGAAATACTACAAACCTTACCATTCTTTTCACTAACGTGAAACAGCTTTTCTTCTTATTGAAAAATGTGATGAAACTTTAAAAGCCTATTTAAATTTGGTGGGTCAGTACCGTGCTCCCATTTATGGTTTGAGGTTGATGAAGAATTGGAAAATAATGCCGTTCACAGAAAAATCTTGGTGACCCTCTGCTCTACAGAAATAAGAATGAACAAATTACAGCACAGATTATAGTGGTTGAACTGCAGAAATAAAAAGTTGAGTGGAAAACCTCTACCCCCCAAAATTATACAGTATGTTTATATATATATATAAAGTTCCAAACTAGACTTTAGTGTTTGGAAATGCAAGAAGTGATGATAACAAAATTGGAATAATGGTTAAATTGTAGGTAGGTAATAAATTGAGGTGGAGGTTCCAGAATTTTCTGGTATGTTGGAAACATTCTGTTTGTTCACCTGTCTGATAGTTACATGGAGGTTTGTTTCATGAAAAATCTATTGATGAGAAACTGGATGCTTTTCTGCTAAGGTCAGGGACAAGGCAACGAGGTTCCTTCTCACCTCTCCTATTCCACATTATACTGGAAGTCCTAGCTAAGGCAAGAAAACAAAAAAAGGAAACAAAAGACATTGTGATTGGGAAGGAAGAAATAAAACTCTTCACTTGCAAATGCCATGATTGTCTGTATAGAAAATCCCATATAATCAATAACAACATAAACTCCTGAAACTAATGAGTGATTAGTGTTAACACAAGGTTAATATACAAAAGTCAATTGCTTTCTCAGATGCCAGCAGTGAACAATTGGGGTTTTAAATTAATAATACAGTACTGTTTATATTAACACCAAAAAGATAAATACTTAGGTATAAATCTAATAAAATATGTATAAGATCAATATTAGGAAGACAATAAAACTCTGATGAAAGAAAATCAAAGATCTGAATAAATGGAGAGATAGTCCCTTTTCATGGATAGATGGGTTCAATATTTAGATGTCACTTCTTCCTAAGTTGATATGTATATTCAACACAATCCCAGTCAAAATCCCAGCAAGTTATTTTGTGGGTATTGACAAACTAATTCATGAGTTTATTTGGAAAGGAAGAGGCCCACATTAGCCAACATAATATTGAGGAAGAAAAAGAAAATCGGAGGACTGACAGTCTCCAACTTTAAGACTTAGTATAAAGCTAAGTAATCAAGATAATATGGTATTGTTGAAAGAACATAGATCATTGAAACAGAGTAGAAAACTCAGAAATGGACCCACACAAATATAGTCAATTCATCTTTAACAAAGGAGCAAAGACAATTCAAGGAAGAAAGGACAGTCTTTTCAACAAATAGTGCTTAAACAACTGGACATTTATGTGTTAAAAAAGTTAATCTAGACGACCTTATACCTTTCATAAAAGTGAACTCAAAATGGATCACAAAGCTAAATATAAAACAAAAAACTATAAAACTTCTAGAAGATAACATAGAAGAAAATCTAAGTACCCTTGGGTTTGCTGATGACTTTTTAGATACAACATCAAAAATATGATCCATGAAAAAAATTAATAAGTTGGATTTCATTAAAATTAAAAATTTCTATTTTGAGGAAAGCTTCTGTTAAGAGAATGAAAAGATAAGCCACAAACTGGGAGAAAATATTTGTAAAATAGGTATCTGATAAAAGATTTGTATCTAAAATATACTACAAAGAACTCTTAAAAATAATAAGAAAACATATGGCCAGGTGTGGTGGCTCACGCCTGTAATCCCAACACTTTGGGAGTTCCGACGTGGGCAGATCACGAGGTCAGGAGATCAAGACCATCCTGGCTAACATTGTGAATCCTTGTCGCTACTGAAAATACAAAAAAATTAGCCAGGCATGGTGGCATGTGCCTGTAGCCCCAGCTCCTCGGGAGGCTGAGGCAGGAGAATTGCTTGAACCTGGGAGGCAGAGGTTGCAATGAACCAAGATTGCGCCACTGCACTCCCGCCTGGGTGACAGAGTGAGACTTTGTCTCAAAAATAAATAAATAAATAAAATAAGAAAACATGTAACTCAATTAAAAAATGGACAAGAGCTCTAAACATATACCTAACTAAAGAAGATTTACATATGGCAAGTAAGCATATGAAAAGATGCTCAATATTGTATGTCATTAGCTAATTGCAAATTAAAACATTGAGGTACCACTACAGACTTATTAGAATGGCAAAAATCCAAAACACTGATAACACCAAATGATGGTGAGGATGTGGAGCAATGGGAATTCTCACTCATTGCTGATGGAATGCAAAGTCATATAACCACTTTGAAAGACAGTTTGGTAGTTTCTTACAAAGCTAAACATAGTCTTACTATGTGATCCAGCAGTGACACTCCAAAGTATGAAATGAGTTGAACTCCAAATTAGCTGAAAACGTAAGTCCACACAAAAACTTGCACTAGAACATTTATAACAAGCAACTTTAACTAGGGTAACTTGGTTAAACATCCCAGATGTCTTTCAGTAGGTTAATGGATAAACAAACTGTGATACATCCAGACAAGGGAATATTATTCAATAATAAAAAGAAATGAGCTACCAAACCACAAAGAGACATGGAAAAACCTTAAATATGTACTGCTAAGTGATTGAAGCTATATGAAGTGGCTGCATACTGTATGATTCCAACCACAGGCATATGCTATTTTGTGGTGGTTCACTTTGTTGTGCTTTGCAGATACTATGTTTTTTTACAAATTGAAGGTTTGTGGCAACCCTGAGTTGAGCAAGTCTATTGGTGCCACTGATATGGTTTGGCTCTGTGTCACCATCCAAATCTCATTTCATAGCTCCCGTAATTTTCATGTGTTATGGGAGGGACCCAGTGAGAGATAATTGAATCATGGGGGCAGGTCTTTCCCGTGCTGTTCTCGTGATGGTGGATACGTCTCAGGAGATCTGATGGTTTTAAAAATGAGAGTTGGGGCTGGGCATGGTGGCTCAGGCCTGTAATCCTAGCACTTTGAGAGGCTGAGGCAGGCGGATCAGGAGGTCAGGAGATCGAGACCATCCTTGCTAACATGGTGAAACCCTGTCTCTACTAAAAATACAAAAAATTAGCTGGGCCTGGTGGCGGGTGCCTGTAGTCCCAGCTACTCGGGAGGCTGAGGCAGGAGAATGGTGTGAACCTGGGAGGCAGAGGTTGCAGTGAGCCGAGATTACACCACTGCATTCCAGCTTGGGTGACAGACCAAGACTCCATCTCAAAAAAAAAAAAAAAAAAACACGAGAGTTTGCCTGCACAAGCTCTCTCTTTGCATGCTGCCATCCATGTAAGACATGACTTGCTCCTCCTCACCTTCCACTGTGATTGTGAGGCCTCCCCAGCCATGTGGAACTGTGAGTTTATTAAACTGTTTTCCTGTATAAATTACCCAGTCTTGGGTATGTCTTTATGAGCAGTGTGAAAATGGACTAATACAGTAAATTGGTATCAGTAAATGGGGCTCTGCTGAAAAGTTACCCAAAAATGTGGAAGTTATTTTGGAACTGGGTAACAGGCAGAGGTTGGAACAGTTTGGAGGGCTCAGAAGAAGACAGGAAAATGTGGGAAAGTTCTGAACTTCCTAAAGACTTTTTGAATGGCTTTGCCCAAAATTCTGATAGCAATATGGACGATAAAGTCTAGGCTGAGGTGGTCTCAGAAGGAAATGAGGAACTTGTTGGGAACTGGAGCAAAGGTGACTTTTGTTATGTTTTAGCAGAGACGGGTGACATTTTGTCCCTGCCCTAGAGATTTTTGGAACTTTGAACTTGAGAGAGATGATTTAAGATATCTAGCAGAAGAAATTTCTAAGCAGCAAAGCATTCAAGAGGTAACTTGGGTGCTGTTAAAGGCATTCAATTTCATGAGGGAAGCAGAGCATAAAAGTTTGGAAAATTTGCAGCCTGACAATGCGATAGAAAAGAAAATCCCATTTTCTGAGGAGAAATTCAAGCCTACTGCACAAATTTGCATACATAATGAGCTGAATGTGAATCCTCAAGACAATGGGGAAAACGTCTCTGTGGCATGTCAGAGGTCTTCATGGCATCCCCTCCCCCTAGGCCAGGAAGCCTAGGAGGAGAAAGTAGTTTTATGGGCTGTCCTCAGGGTCCCCATGCTGGGTGTAGCCTAGGGACTTGATGCCCTGCATCCCAGCCACTCCAGCCATAGCTGAAAGGGACAAATGTAGAGCTAGGGCTGTGGCTTCCGAGGGTTCAAGCCTCAAGCTTTGGCAGCTTCCATGTGGTATTGAGCCTGCTGGTACACAGAAGTCAAGAATTGGGGTTTGGGAACCTCCGCCTAGATGTCAGAGGACGTGTGGAAATACCTGCAAAGGCAGAGTTTGCTGCAGGGACAGGTCCTAATGGAGAATCTCTGCTAGGGCAGTGCAGAAGGGAAATGTGGGGTCAGAGCCCCCACACAGAGTCCCTACTGGTGCACTGGTGCACTGTGAGAAGAGGGCCACCGTCCTCCAGCCCCCAGAACAGTAGATCCACGGACAGCTTGCACCATGTGCCTGGAAAAGCCACAGTCACTCAATGCCAGCTGGTGAAAGCAGCCGGGAGGGAGGCTGTACCCTGCAAAGCCACAGGGGCAGAGCTGCCCAAGACCATGGGAACCCACCTCTTGCATCAGCATGACCTGGATGTGAGACCTGGAGTTAAAGGAGATCATTTTGGAGCTTTAAGATTTGACTGCCCTGCTGGGTTTCAGAATTGCATGGGCCCTGTATCCACTTTGTTTTGGTCAATTTCTTCCATTTGGAATGGCTGTGTTTTCCCAATGCCTGTATCTTCATTGTATCTAGGAAGTAACTAGCTTGCTTTTGATTTTGCAGGTTCATGGGGGGAAGGGACTTGGCTTGTCTCAGATGAAACACTGGACTGTGGACTTTTGAGTTAATGCTGAAATAAGGCTTTGGAGGACTGTTGGGAAGGCATGATTGGTTTTAAAATGTGAGGACATGAGATTTGGGAGGGGTCAGGGCTGGAATGATATGGTTTGGCTGTGTGTCCTCACCCAATCTTACCTTGTAGCTCCCATAATTCCCACGTGTTGTGGGAGGGACCCGGTGGGAGATAATTGAATCATGGGACAGGTCTTTCCTATGTTGTTCTCATGATAGTGAATAAGCCTCAGGAGATCTGATGGTTTTAAGAATGAGAATTTCCATGCACAAGCTCTCTCTTTGCCTGCTGCCATCCATGTAAGATGTGACTTGCTTCCTTGCCTTCTGCCATGATTTTGAGGTCTCCCCAGCCATGTGAAACTATAAGTCCATTTAACTTCTTTCTTTTGTAAATCGCCCTGTCTCCAGTATGTCTTTATCAGCAGCATGAAAACGGACTAATATAGCTGCTTTTCCAACAGAATGTGATCACTTTGTGTCTGTATCACATTTTGGTAATTCTTGCAATATATGAAACTTTTCATGTTATTATATCTATTATGGTGAGCTGTGATCGGTAATCATTGATGTTACTATTATAATTGTTTGGGGCCCAGAAACTGGATCCATGTAAAACAGCAAACTTAATTGGTAAATGTTATGTGTGTTCTGATTGCTCCACCAACTGGTCCTTCCCCTGTCTCTCTCCTTCTCTTCAGGCTTCCTTCCCTCTTCCCTAAAAAACAACGATGTTGAAATTGGCCAAGTAATAAACCTGCAATGGCCTCTAAGTGTTCAAGTGAAAGGAAGGGTCACATATCACTCACTTTAAATCAAAAGTTAGAAATGATTCAGTTTTGTGAGGAAGGCATGTGGAAAGCCAACATAGGCCGAAAGTTAGGCCTCTTATGACAAACAGCCCAAAGTTCTGAATGCAAAGGAAAAGTTCTTGAAGGAAATTAAAAGTGCTACTTTAGTGAACATATGAGTGATAAGAAAATGAAACAGGCTTACTGTTGATATGAAGAAAGTTTTAGTGGTCTGGAGAAAAGATCAAGCCAGCCACAACATTCCCCTAAGCCAAAGCCTAATAAAGAGCATGGCCCTAACTCTCTTCAATTTGGTAAAGGCTGAGAGAGGTGAGGAAGATGCAAGAAAAATGTTTGAAGCTAAGAGAGGTTGGTTCATGAGGTTAAAGGAAATAAGCCAACTTCATAAAGTTTGAGGTGAAACAGCACATGCTGATATAGAAGCTGCAGCAAGTTATCCAGAAGATCTAGCTAAAATCATTGATAAAGTTGGCTACATTAAATAACAGATTTTCAATGTGGATAGAACAACCTTTTATTGTAAGAAGATGCCATCTAGGAATTTTCTAGCTAGAGAAGTGAGGTCAGTGCCTGGCGTCAAAGCTTCAAAGGACAGGCTGACTCTTTTGTTAGAGGCTAATGCAGTTAATGACTTTAAGTTGAAGCCAGTGCTCATTTACCATTTTGAAAATCCTAGGGCCTTAATAATTAAATGCTAAATCTACTCTGTCTTTGCTCTAGAAATGAAGCAACAAAGCCTGGATGACAGCACATATGTTTCAGCATGGTTCACTGAATATTTTAAGCCCATTGTTGAGGCCTCCTGCTCAGGAAAAAAGTTTCTTTCAAAATATTACTGCTCATTAATAATGTACCTGGGCCAGGTATGGTGGCTTACACCTGTATCCCAGCATTTTGAGAGGCCAAGACAGGAGGAACACTTGAGGCCAGGAGTTCAAAACCAGCCTGGGCAACATAACGAGACCTCATCTCTGCAAAAAATTAAAAAATTAGCTGGGCATGGTGTCATGTGCCTGTAGTCCCAGCTACTTGGGAGGCTGAGGCAGGAGGATCACTTGAGCCTGGGAGGTGGAGGCTGCAGTTGAGCTATTATTGTACTACTACAGCAGCCTTGGTGACAGAGTGAGACTGTCTCTAAAAATAAGAATAAAAAATGATGTATTTGGTCACCCAAGAGCTCCAATGGAGATGTTCAAGGAGATGAATGTTGTCTTTATGCCTGTTAACACATCCATTCCATAGCGCACAGATCAAGGGGTAATTTCCACTTTGAAGTCTTGTTACTTAAGAGATATATTTCATAAGGCTGTACCTGCTATAGGTAGTAGATTCCTCTGATGGAACTGGGCAAAGTCAATTGAAAACCTTCTAGAAAGGATTCAGATTTCTGATGGCATTAAAAACATTCATAGTTCATGAAATGTGGTCAAAATATCAACATTAACAGGAGTTGGAAGAAATTCATTCCAACTCTTTTGGATGACTTTGGGGGGTTCAAGACATAAGTGGAGGAAATAACCTCAGATGTGGTAGAAATAGAAAGAGAACTAGAATTAGAATTGGAGCCTGAAGATGTGATGGAATTGCTGCAATCTCATGATAAAACTTTAATAAGTGAGGAATTGCTTCCTAAGGATAAGCCCTTAGCAATTTTGGGCAATAAAGCATTTTTTAAGTTAAGGCGTGTACATTTTTTAAAGACATAATGCTATTGCATACTTAATCTACTACAGTATAATGTACCTATAACTTTTATATGCACTGAAAATACCAAAGAATTTATGTGACTTGCTTTATTGTGATACTTTATTACGGTAGTCTGATAACTGAACCTGCGATACCTCCAAGGTATGCCTGTATATGACATTCTGTAAAAGGCAAAAGTAAAACTTATCAGTGGTTGCCAGGAGTTATGGGCGAGAGAGAAATAAATAGGCAGAACACAGAAGATTTTTATGGTAGTGCAGCCATTCTCTATGATATTTTAATGTTGGACACATGGCATTATGTGTTTGTCAAAATCCATAGGCCTGTACAAAACAAAGAGTGAATCCTGGTATAAACTCTGGACTTTAGTTAATGGTAATGTATCAGTTAGGGGTTCATCAGTTGTGGCACATGTACCGCACTAATGTAATAGAGGAAACTGGGTTTGTGTTGGGGTTGTGGGAGAAGATATACATGGGAACTCTCTGTACTTTCTTCTCAATTTTCCTGTAAATCTATAGGAGTACTTTAAAGTCTATTAATTAAAAAAAGAAAAGAAAACATTGAGTTGTCATCTTTATTTCAGATACTTCTTTGCATGTGTAATGTAATTCAAAGTAAAAAAGAATTAAAAAGGCAATCTCAATGATTCTAAGTAGAATTCTGAGAAAAAGTGAGATAATTTCAAATTTGATCTGTCAACATTGAATATTCAAAGGTAAAAACATAGAATTTAAAAAACAATATTTCGTGATGTTACAAAGCAGTGTATTTTATTTCAGGAAAGTGCTAATGTCCATAGATGAGGACCTGTCTATTTCCATATATTTAATAACTTTTAATCACAGTTTATTTATCTATCATAAACTTGTCTTTAATATAGATGTTTCAGTTTCAAATGAAAATATAGATATATATTACATTAAATATAAGAATATCCATGCTATAGTAATGAGCCACTCATCTTTATTGAATTGTTCATGGTTTCTTTCCTTAAATTTTAATATAATTTATGCAGTTGTCTATCATTCTGAGAAATACTTAATATTTAATCTAAGTGGGACTTTATTTTGTTAATTTTATGTTAGTATGTTGTTAAGAAAATGAAAAAGACTATCTTCGTATTCTTTCTTTGACGTGAAATTTTAAAATACACTTTCAGTTTTAAAAAGTACCAGATATGGGGTGTTTTCTTGTCTCTTTTTTCATTTTCTTTTTTTTTCTTCTTCTTCCTTCCCTTTCTCTTTTTCTTCTTTACTTTCTTCTTTCTTTTTCCATATTTTCAGGTGGTTAATTTTCCCAGGAGTGAACGTCATCTTATTTAGTTGGTTGACATTAAGAAAAACCAGGAATTTATTATTCATAAAAATGAAATATAAAAAATCTCCCTTTTCTTCAGGCTCTGGATATAGCTAGGCTCAACACAAATGTCTAGGGAAAATGCATCTGTTGCTATTGCATTTATTTTTTTTTTTGTTTCTCTGAAAACTTGGCATTTGTAAGATATCTATGATTTTGATTTGTCTTGGCCAAAGCCCAGATTACCAAGGAATTACATTTTGAACATATTCAACTAAGAATTATCTTTGTAGCAACTTTTCCTTTGCCATATTGAAATTTTGGGAATAAAATCAGATTTTGTTTTAAAAACCAGCTATGTTTCTTTCTAGTGCCAGAATGATTTTTTCTGTGTTAAAGCAGAATAAAGCAATGCTTATAGTCTATCTAAAACTTATTTTAAGCATACTGTGGAGAAAAGAGCCCCATTTTTGCATTTGCAGACCTGGGTTCAAATGTTTGCTCTGCCAGTTAGAATTTATATTGATTTTTGGTAAGTTTTGCATGTGAAAAAAAAATACTAATAATAATTTCTTTATTTGGTTATATAAAATTTAAATGATCAAATATTTAAAATACCTGACACATAGCTGGCACTTACTTGATGGTAGTAGTCTCTCTTTTGCCCTTTATTCTTTCTATATGTAGGGATAAGTGTGCAAATAAATAAATGTGTGTGTATGCTTATGTGTATATATGTGTTTGTACTCCCACACATACTTATGTATGTACTTATGTGTCTGTTGTCTTCTCTCTCTCTCTAACCTGTATTGTGTAATATTTTATGTAGCCACTTATTCTATTAAATTCAGAGGGAAAGAATTCTTATAGGAATGATATAGTTGTTGAATTCAGGAAATAGGGATTTTATTCACCACGTAAAGTTATTTTAAAAGTTATTATGTTTTTGTGTCCTAGTATTTCTGTAACTTTATGTTAACCTGAATTTTTAAAACTGGAATATTTATAAATCCTTAAAAGGGGATCTGATAGATATTTATGTTTCTTCTACAAATTCCCAGCAGGCATTGGAGAAATAGCTTTTTTCTTCTTCTTCAACATGTAATTCACAGAATAATATACTGCTCCATCTTGATTAGTGTTCAGAAAAATGTGCATTAGTCAACTTGAGATGTATGGGAATATAAGAAACAAGGTAATTTATTTATTAAATGTCCAAAAAGAGAAGTGTCAGTTTTGACAAGATGGAAAAATGCAAGATGGGAGTTGAATCTTTCTTAAAAATTGATGTTTGTTTCATTCAGGTTTTACTAAATAGCAAGGCACCAGTTTCCTGAGAAGGTTTGTACAGCTGAATGTGTTCATAACTGATTTGGATCTTTATCTTTGTAGAATAGTAATTCAACAAAATGAAGCATAATACTACATGTTCTCTTATAATGATGTAGGCTTTCTAGCAAAAGCAGCTGTTACTATCCTAAGAAAGTAGCCTGTATATCTTGCCTAAATATCTTATCTGAATTTGAATCTTGTGACTGCTGAATAACTACCTCAAATCTTAACTAATTGGCTGCTCTCAGACACTAAAGAGAGGGTTGTAACAAAGAAGCAGAATGCTTAAATGAGGGATAAAATCCATCAAGCTAAGTATTTATTACAAAAGCCTGATTTTAAGTGATTTTTTTTTTCAAACGCAAACTACTTAAAACCTGTGTTTTCTCTATATTTCTTCTGGTTATAAAGACAAGATGGTAAAGACAAAACTTGCTAAACACAAAATGGGTGGTAGCCTCCAAATCTACTTACTCGTTAAGTCCACTTATGTGTTAAGGATGCTGTGTTATCTGGGACCAGGGACTAAGTATTTCTAGAATGAGTAATTCTTTTTTAGTGGATGCATCTATGATCTGGTTTTGTGGAGTTGACAACTCGACTCATACCATGATTATTACTCATTTTTGTTATAGCCATGGGTAACAATGTTAAGGAGTAGCAAAGCGGTTTTGGGTCAGACACTATAGAATAGTTTGAAAGTATATATTCTTCACATACATGACCTAATGACCATTTTCATTTAACTCTCTTAAATGTTTAGTGATTTTATTATTGTATAACCTAAAAGCTCTCACATTTTTGTTTTGTAAATAAGAAAGTAACATTTTTCTACATATGGTGTATATTTTAGGTTTGTCCAAAATGCATTAAGTGTATTAAGACCTAACATCTTTACCTAAAATAAATACACATCAACCATCTCAGATAATGGTAGCTATAAAAAAAGCATTTGCTGATCTGCTGATCTGGACAAATTGGGTAAGAATGTATTTCATTGAAAATTATGTTAACGATTCTCTTCCCTGTAGAATCCAAAGTGGTAGCTTTCTGTAAGATTTGTATTTTGAGATATTCTAAACATACAGAAAATGAAATAATAGGTACTCATATTCAAACTTGACATATTAATATTTTGTTTTATTTCTTCAGATCTCACTCTTTTTAAGAACTATAATGCCACAAAATAGTAAATGTTGTGTCTTCTGATCTTGTACCTTTTTCTCCCCCTAGATTTATTTTACTATATTGAATTAGTGTTTATCTGTATTCTCACATTTTTGTTTTTGGGGATTTTAAAATTTATATTAGCAGCATCATATCAAATCTACCTCTGAAAATTTTTTCTTTCAAAGTTATGTTTAGGGGATTTATAAACATTGATCCACACAGGTTTGATTTCTCTTTTCTTGTCTTGTCTTGTCTTGTCTTGTCTTGTCTTGTCTTGTCTTGTCTTGTCTTTTCTTTCTTTCTTTCTCTCTCTCTCTTTCCCTTTCTTTCTTTCTTTCTTTCTTTCTTTCTTTCTTTCTCTCTCTCTCTCTCTCTCTCTTTCTTTTTCTTTCTTTCTCTCTCTCTCTCTCTTTCTTGACAGGGTCTCAGTCTGTCACACAGGCTGGAGTGCAGTGGTGCAGTCTCAGCTCACTGCAGCCTCAACCTCCCAGGTTCAGGCAATCCTCTCGCCTCAGCTCCCCTGAGTAGCTGGGACTACAGGCGCGCACCACCACGCCCGGCTAATTTTTGTATTTTTTTGTAGAGTCGGGATTTCACCATATTGCCCAGGCTAGTCTTGAACTCCTGGTCTCAAGTGATTTGCCCTCCTTGGCCTCCCAGAGTGTTGGGTGTTGGGATTACAGGCATGAGCCACTGTACTGGCCCATGTCTGATTTCTTAGGTTGTTTTTTTTTTTTTTTTGTAAGCTTTTATTGAATTTTAACTTACATATGGAAAGCTGCACAAATCATAAATGCACATCTTGAAGAATTTCACAGAATGAACACACTTGTGTAACCGGTGCCTAGCTCCAGTAACACATTTGT
Organism: Homo sapiens; assembly: GCF_000001405.40. Classification (NCBI taxonomy): domain Eukaryota; kingdom Metazoa; phylum Chordata; class Mammalia; order Primates; family Hominidae; genus Homo; species Homo sapiens. The sequence continues at coordinate 114,176,809 of NC_000007.14, forward strand.
TTGTACTCTAAAAGTCCCACCATGCTTTATCTGCCTTTTAGTTACTATCTTCCAGTCCTTACCCCAGGGTAACCATATTCTTACCCTTAACAACATGGATTAGTATTGTCTAATTTTGAACTTTATACAAATGGTATCATTTGGTATAGTCTTCTGTGTCTGGGCTTTTTTTCTCAATATTAGCTGTATGAACTTCCTCCCTGTTATTGTGTATAGTTAAGTGTCTCTCCTGAGTGCTATCCATAATCACATGAATATGCCACCATTTACTTACATTCATTCTATTTGGGGGCATTTTGGTTGTTTGTTTTCCTGTGTTTGGCTATTAGGAATAATACTGCTCTGAAGATTATTGTACACATCTTTTACATGTTACATTTACCTGTGTACCTAGGAGTAGAATTTTTGTATTATCAGGTATCTATAGCATAGTGTCAACTTAGTGCCTGTATTATAGGTTATCTGTCCAATGCTTTTATCATTAGTAGACATTACCAACCAGTCTTCTAGAGCAGTTGTTCCAGTTTACCCTTCTACCATCAATGTGTGAAAGTTTAAGTTGTTCCACATTTTGTCAACACTTAGGTTGTCTTTTTTATTTTTGTCTTCTGGGTGGGTAATAATTCATTTGTTTTTAACTGCTCTATAACATTCTATAGTTTGAATAAAGCATGCTTATTTATAAATCCCTTCCTTAGTAGATGGACAATTTGATTGCTTTCCATTTTTTACAATCAAATAATACTTGAATGAATATATCTATTTATATATGGTTTTGTGCATCTATTTGAGAGTTTCTTTAAGATTATAACTTGAAGTGGGATGTATGAGTTTTAGACAATAACATATTTTTGTTTTGTTTTTATTTTTTATTGGCAAGTACAGATTGTATATATTTATGGTGTATGACATAATATTTTCATATATGTATATTTTGTGTACTGGCTAAATGAAGTTATTTAACCTATGCATTACCACACATACATATTTTATCATGGTGAGAACACTTAAAACCTGTTCTCTTAGCAATTTTCATGTATACAATATATTGTTATTTATAGTCAGACATAATGTACAATAGATCTCTAGAACTTACTCCTTCTGTCTAACTGAAATTATATGTCTTTTAACCAACATCTCCCCAATTCCTCTTTCCCCCTAGCATCTTTATTTATATAATATATTGCTAAATTTTTCTCTAGTGGGGCTATACCATTAAGTGGTATTTTGGTTTTATTATGAATCATACATATGAAGTGTAAAGTGTAATGATGCCTCTCTAAAAACAGTATTATGCAAAGCTTAATAACAATTTGTAGGAAATGTAGTAGGGAGAGATGAAACATTCTTTGCAGCTCCTGGCATAAAATTAAAGCTTCCATTATTATTTTCTCTGTTGCATTATTCATTATGATGTTGCCATGAAATGCACACTCTGGAATCCATTACAATTCATGTAAATTCTCCCAAGATCTTTAGGTAAGATCTTTAAATTTTTGAGCATTTCTTCTTTATGATAGTTATTTTTTTCCTATATTACATAGTGATTGCATATATTTTCATCTTGACATTTTACCATCCAGTGACATTACATACCAAGGTACTTTGGAAAGTTTATGTAATTAAATTAATGGATATACACATTTTGTGACATTCAAAGGATTTGATTCTAAGCAAAATGGTGACATGAGATACAACTTGTTCTAGTTGCTCCCATTGAATTTTATGAAAATTTCATGTGCTTGTATTTTATAATTTTAACTTGATAATGCCAAGATATTTTCCTTGTATTAGCTGTAAGAACAGACAGAGTTAATGTTGGTAGAATGACCAAAGCAAAACCTTTAATCTAGGTTCTCAAATTTGACACTATTAGTAAGGTAGGTCAGCATTTGTCTCAAAGAAAGAAATCTAATTAGTTTACGTGTTACTATTTCTTTTTTTATAATTTTCATTTTCTCTCAATGCCATTTTTCCACCACCCAGGATCTTTAATTAGTTTTGATGATCTAGTCAACCCCCAGTTTCTCTGTTCAGATGAGAATGCATATTCCTACACAGAATATCTTTCAGTCACTGTCCCTCCCTCTTTTTCTTTATGAACGTCAACACAATCTCCTCTCCATAAACAAATGTATTTTGAATGAACAAAACACAGTCAAATATCAACTCAAAATTCTATGTAGATTTTTCAGAGTAAAATTGTATTGGTAAATTTTAACTGAGTACCCAATTATTGCCAGCATCTTAACTTTTCCAAACCTTTTATATTTAACTATTTATAAGAAGGCTCGTACAAAGGACAATTTTGGTTTAGTTGGTCAGTTGTAAAATCATGTTGCTATTGCATTTCTGTCTTTTATTAATATTTTTCCTATGATTAAAGTGACCTGAGATTGACTTTGTTGGCTTTTATTATTTTTAAATCTAGCAATATTTGAATTTAAATCTATATAGATCATGAATTGAGGCAATTTAAGAAATATAATTTCTCAACAGTTTCATTATTGAGATGAATACTAATGTGTGTATTGTTTATATGCAGATCCTTACCTGAAACATTTTTGTTTTCTAGTAGATTTTAAGAATCAGTGTCATAAGGTACCATACTATTTCCCACTCTTGTCATTTCCACTCAGTATTTTGTTTACTCCTACATGCCTTGTTCAAGCCTGTGTTTTCAATGCATAGAGTAGTGCTGGCATGCGGTCTGCCCTTAATAAAAATATTCGGTGAATGAATTGATTTCAATATTGTTTTTCAGAAAAGAAAGTTGTCTATTTACCACAAGGTTAATGTTAGTCTTTTGCCTTTAAATGCAATCTTTTGGAAGACTATGTTGAAAGGAATACGAAGACTTTAAAATGGTTGAACAATTCACATCTTTTAAGGCTATACTTGAAGGAAATAATAATCTTTTAAAAGTCAAAAATAGTTCCATTGTGTTAAACATAAAGAGCAAACCAAAAAACTGTGGCCAGATTATTATAGTGAGTTCTTATTTATCTTTACAAAATCCATGTAGAATATAACTATTACTAGAAGTTCTTTCTGAGGCTAACAAGGAGACTATCATCAGATTTGAGAATTTTTTTTCTGGACTGTAACTCCTGTGTATTTTCTTCTGTACATTCTTGACTCTTGGACCAGTCTCCTTTTCTACAAGGTGGGGGATTGAATGATTGAATAAAGTACTGGCTGATTACCTGAAAAACTTTGAGGATCCATGCTAGACCATGTAGTACATAACAGGTATGTTGGTCTACCTTAGTGGATGTCACCTCTTCTGTACTGTCACTGCGTTAGTATTTTGGGAAGGAGTGGATATAATTGCATGTGTTTAGACTGCTATGCTTAACCAGAAGTTCTGAAATGATGTTACTGTTGCTACATCTAAAGGACAGTTTTTAATCGCTTGTCTTCTCTGAAGTATTTAACAGTGGTGACTGCTTCCTCTTTCTATCATTCCATGTTCTCATGGCATGTTCTCTCACTTATTCTTCCTAAGACTTTCTTGTGAGCCCTTTTTCTGCCCATCTCATACATTTATTTTCCTGTGTTCTGTCCTTATCTTCTCACTCTGTACATTATTCTAGATGAGCTCACTTACTCCCAAAGCCTTAACTACCATCTTTGGTGTTGGAATTCCTACTTTTGTGTCTCTAGCTCATATTTCTTCTCTGAATTTGAGATCTGAATTTACAGTTGCCTCCTTGATATCCCTGCTTAAATGTCCCATAAGAATTCATCTAAATACATGTATAATTAAGTATATTGTCAGCTCCTGCCCCACATATCAAACTATGCTTCTCTTATGATATGTTCTGTCTTAGTGAATAACAGGCATGATTATACACTCAGTTGCCTGTGTCAGAAATATTGGGTCATCCTTCACATCTCCCTTCTCATCTTCACTGTAAAATGTTTACTGGCCCCATTGATTCAATCTCCAAAATAGATTCCAGATGTGTTTATCTCACTACAGCCCACTGATGCTATCCTAGTCTAAAACTTTCACTTGGATCACTGCAATGATCTCTTAATTGGTTTACTCAATTCTTTATACCCTTTATCTCCTCCAATTCACTAGGTAACAAAAATTACCTTTTTAAAAAAAAATGAGTAATTTTTATTTTCTGCTTAAAATTTTGCTGTTGTTTCCCTTTAAACATAGGGTAAAATCAAAATAACTCTTCAGCTTGGCCCTGCAAAGTTTGGATTGTGCCTGTCTCTCTATCATCATTTTTCTCTACTCAGCATATTTCTGACTTTTCTTTCTTACTCCACCTATGCTGGTTTAATTTAATTAATTGATGGCTTTATGTTCTTGTGTGCCTTGTGACCTTTGTGCATAGCATTGCTTTTCTGTAGGACTGGGTAATGGATGCAGAGGTGAAAGATCAGGATGATTCTAAAATTTCAAGCTTGGTAATTGTGTTTCTTTTAATGGATTTTATCCTAATAAATTAATATATATATATATATAAAATGAAGGATTAAAGTATAACATGCATATAAGCTGTCTCTAACCTAACCTTCTATAACCTAAAATATTTCAGAACTTTTCTTTGTATAGTGATCCTCCAAAGATCTCATGCCCTCCATGTCTCTTTGCATACTGTGTTTTCTTTGTTTGGAAAGTACCCCTTCCTTATATGGTAAATGAACCTCTGCTGTCATTCAAGATCCAGTGGAAATACAGCTTCCTCTGGGAGGCGGGAGCCTTCAGAGTTGTTGATGATAGTTTCCTTTATGTTACCCAGGTACATTTTGCAGAAGATGCACCTGAAACAGAAAAGTTAAGTAGCTGGTCCAGTTACTAAGTGATACAGCCAAAATTTGAACTTTCACATGTCCAATTTTAAAGCATGAGCCTTTATCTTTTGTTTGATACAGTCATTGTTTAATAAACACTTATTAAATCAGTGGGTCAATAAAAAGATAAAACACTAAATGACCTAATTAGTAAAAAGGTTTTAATGGGATAAATGATAAGAAGTGACTTAACCAATATAGAAAATAAATATTTGATAAAGAAATCTATATCTGTAGAATGGTTCAACTTCTATGCCAGTTAAAGTTAACCTTGCTTTGTAATATCTTAAGATGCCTCTGGTTCTCAAAAAAGGTATGAAGCTGAACTTTAGTGAAATAAGGCATGGAATGAACAAATTTCTTTTAATTAAAAAGGGCAAATATATATCATATACATTTTTCATATACTTTAATTGCTTTATGCATTTGTGCCTTATTCCCCTCAACCTGATTGTTAACTTCTTTTGAACAAAAATATTTCATATATTTTCTTAGTGTCTCTTGTAATATCTAGTTCTACTTGATAACTGTTTCTTCTGTGTAAAATAAATGATGGTGTCTTATCTCTTCAAAACTTAATTTTAGTAATAAAACTTCATATATTTTCAAACAGTAATGTAACTGATTTTTTTAATGGAAACCATTAATTTGAAGCATTAATATACACGAAAAATGGAACCAACTGTTTAGTACTAGGTTCAATACTGTCTTTTTAAAAAAGAAAAGTACTCAGGTATGCACGATGTCAAGGACAATCAGTGGAGAAAAAGCAGTTTATTTTGGATTTAGCTTAGAAGAATGTAATATTCTAACATTTAACTAGTAGGTGAGTTTAAATATCTGTGCACCTCTATTTTAGGACTTGTTTTGCCTTTTACTTTTCATTTTCTTTCAAATATCAAGAGATATTCACATTTGGAAGGACATATTCTTATTAACACTAATGAGATTTTTTGGTAAATGAATTGAATATAAACAACTATTGTGTTTGTCTTTTTTTTTTTGTAAAAAATATTTCAAGCTGAAGATCCCAGTCATATAATTAAAAGGCCTAATCCCATTCAATCCTTGAATACGTCTATAGAAATAGAATTCTTAAAACATATACACAAAAGATAATATGATGCCTGTTGAATTTAATAATATGTTCAATCGAATTATTATACTACTAAAACAAGTCTAATTTTGATTAGGAAAAATGATTATTTTTTGTATATTTATACATAATGTACATATTATAGGCCATCGTTGGCACTAAAGAAGTTAAAGGAGTGGGGTTGGGGGTAGAAATAACACTTGTATTATGTTAAATCAGAAAAATAATCACACTTGGCAGTTTTCCTTTGCAGAATGCAGGAAAGGCTGAAGGCTTTTGTACAGTTCAAAGAGCACATTCCACAGATACAGCAGTTGTTGGTTGCCTGCAGGGATCATCAGAATTGAGGGGGTGGTGGTAGAGGTCTGTATCACAAAAGTCCAGTCTGTTGGGCTGTGTGTTTGCCAAGAAAAAAACAAAAATGTTTGCACTTTTTTGAGAAGTTGTTTAGAAATTAGCTTCATATAATTTAAGTGTATTTTAAAGATGGCACTTTTGCATCAATTTTTAATCTATGCAATAATCAGATGACATTCTTATTTCTCTTTTGCTGCCTCTTGTTCTTTAATAATTTGGTGTTAGATTAAGGTTTACATGTTTAACTGTGGAAGCATAGAACTGCTGACTATTAAACTGTCAGTTAAACAGAGAAATATAAATAAATTATATTTCACTCTTATATATTTAATTATCATTTATACAACTAGCATATTAAGCAATTTCAACAAGTTAATTCAAGACTGTTAAGAGAGCCTTCTTTAGCTGAAAATATGCCAAAGGGTAGCTTTTTCATCTGGCATGTCAAGACTTGTGCTGAATTAACACTTGTATGATTTCCCTACAGAATATACAAGTTATACTTTCTACTGTTAACTTAAATAATGTAACTGAAAGTTCTCTGAAAACTATAAATTGTAGAACAGTTATAAATTCACATTATTAAGTTTCTTGAAATGTGTATTGTACATGATATCATATATGCACTTTTTATAATTTATATCAAGTTTTGGCAAAGTATGTCAACATAGTTTTTGGCTATATTCTTAGCTTTAAAAATAGCTAATTAGTGATGCGCTGTTATAATTTTTAGGTTTACGAAAACCCCCCAAAGCCTTATCTGGATCTAGTCTTGAATTCACAAGAATTTGGGATAAAGTGTTTTGTTGGGTCCAGATGTGTTTTATCTAGCCTGTCATAATCAGTTGCCAGAAGATTAGTTAATGTGGTACACAAGACGAGAAACATGAATATTGGAATTAACTGTTGAACAAACTTCTGTATCCACTATAGTAAGAATTTCTTTATTTTTACTTTTTAAGATTTGTTACTTTCAAGTTTACAGATGCTTAAAATGCAAAAAGGGGACAGAGGCTAATTTAGAAGAATCCCTGTACCCACCATTCAGATTTGGTGAATGTTACTATTTTGCCATCTTTTATTTTAGGACTCTTTATTAAGAAATCTTAAAAGAGAAAGGCCTTCTGTTTCAGTCTTGAAATGCCCATTTCTGAGTTGGTTATTTGACAGCAACCTCCTAAGGCATTTAACTGATATTTCTTTCCTATTATAATACTAGACTCGTTAACGTAGTTTACTCAAAATGGCTGCCACTCCTTGGCGGTATGGCTCAGAGAAGACCCAGAAGCCTTTCTATTCCGGAATTTCAGCTTTCTTACTCGTTATTTCCATAAGATATGAAATTATTTACTTTTCCAATTTTTAGCTATAGGACATTGGGGGCAATTATTAAGCATAAATGATTTATGGAGAGAATAACACATTAAGCAATTTTTAGTCATTATGATTGTCACTCGGAAGCTGTTGCTATAGAACTGGATTCCAAGAACAGGGTTACTGGAAGGAAGGTAGCTCAGGGTGAGGTTCGCCTTCAGCATTTCATTGATACGTAGAAATGAGAAGTTTCAAATGAGACATGCAGCACCCAGAATTCTTCACTGGGGCTATATGGGACAAAATAAATAGATAAAACAAGATTATATGAGGTCCCTGACTTTTGGTAAAGCAAAAATCAGTTCCCATGCTGTAATATATATGCAAAACTGCCAAGGGAAACTGTTTTTCCGTTTGCAACATACATTCATATAATTTCATAAGTAGATGACCTTAAACACATTTTACTAATGAGAGCAATGAATAACAAGGAAATTCAATAACTTTCTAAAATCTCATAGCTAGGAGGTTAAAATTCTAGATTTTGGTACTACATTTTCTGCCATGAAGTCTGTTGACTGTCCTATGTTACGTCATATGATTCACTGCCTTCATTACCAAAATGTACTACTTCTACCTTTAAGCCTATCTTAAACTTACCTAGATTTAAAGAAACATTTCAAGTCCTATAATTTCCCCTAAAACATTCCCTACAACGTATAGTGCTCTTATGTCTCTGAATACTTAATGCTTACAGTATATATAGTAAGCACATATTTTTATGGTCTCCCATATTCCACTAATGTTGTATTTATGTTTATTATTCTTTTAAACAGTTTTTTGGCTCCTTCAGATCTGGGCCCTGGATTATACTTTGGGTTTCAATTATTGCCAATCTAGTATTGAGCACTTAGTGGATACTCAGTAATACCTGACTCTGGGCTTTATTCCCCGTTCTGACAATGACCAGGTGTGTGGTAGTGGGCAAGTTGCTTAATATCTCTGGGCTCTAAATTTTAATTTGTAAAAATGGGATAAAAATAAAGCCTATCTCAAAGGGTTGTTATGGAAATTAAATCAAACTTTGCAATATAAAGCACTTAGCCTAGTGCCTGGAACATAGTAATTGCTTAGTAAATGCTAACTTTTGTTATTATTGTTTATCCCAGAGTGGTATCACAGAGTGAAATGTCCATGTTCAGAAATTCAGACTTACCTCAGAAGCAAAGAATCCCAAATTCCCACTTTTTAAAAGTCATCCACACCTCTCCTTCAGGGAAACAGCTGTCTAATTTGTTACTTTGATTCATGCTCACTAGCAAGAATTCTAAACCCTAGGTTCTTTGCCTCCAAAGGTTCCTGATAAAAATGAATCTCAAGAATTAGTTTCATTTTTTATTCTATATATTTACTTTATGCGTTTAAAAATATTTTTCTAAGGAGGAAATAGGTGTTTTAGTATTTACCACTAACTGGGTAATTTATAATCAACAGAAATTTATTGATTCACAATTCTGGAGCCTGGGAAATACACTATCAATATACGGGCATCTGGTAAGGGCATTTTTTGCTATGGCATCACGTGGAAGAAGAGCAAAGAGAAAGAGAAAAAGGAGGGCTGGACTTACCCTTTTATAATGGCACCAATTCCACCATGAGGGTGTAACCCTCATGGCCTAGTCACCTCTTAAAGGCCACACCTCTTAATACTGTTACAATGGCAACTGAATTTTAGCATGATTTTTGGACGGGACGTATGTTCAAACCATAGAATCTCATCCCTGAGCCCTCCAAACTAACGTCCTTCTAACATACAAAATAAATTCCTTCCATCCCAGTAGCCTCAAAAGTCTTAATTTGTTCCAGCATCAACTCAAAAGTCCAAAGTGTAGAGTTTCACATATGGGTGAGACTCAAGGCACCATTCATCTTGAGGCAAATTTCCCTCTTGGAATAGTATAATATTTCTCCCTATTTCAAAAGGGAGAAATAGGTAAGAAAAAAATGGGTAACTGATCTCAAATAAGTGTAAAACCCAACAGAGCAAACAGCATTAAATGTTAAAGCTCCAGAATAATCTTCTTTGTCTCTTTGTCCCACCTCCCAAATACACTGGGGTGGGAATCGGGCCCCCAAGGCCTTAGGCATCCCTACCCCTGTGGCTTTGCTGGAATCAGCCCGCATAACAGCCCTCAGAGGTTGGAGTCTTGTACCTGCAACTTTGCCAGGTTGGTGTTACACTCTGGCAGCTCTAGAGTTCTGCAGATGGCCTCATCGCTGTGGTGGCTCCGTCCCTGGGGCAGTTCTTAGCCTGGGTCCCCAGGCTCTCTGAGGCATCTTTTAATATCTAGGTGGAGGACATCATAGCCCCACAGGTCATGCACTGTATACATCTGCAGAGTTAGCGCCATGTGGACACTGCCAAGGTTTATCGTTTGCATCCTCTGGAGTGGTGACCCAAGCTGTGACTGGGCTGGGTTGAGCCATGACTCGGGGAGCCGAGAGATGTGCCAGAATTTGGGGAGCAGACACTTGAGGTGGCTCAGGGTAAGGAATGCTGAGGTCCTGCAGGCTCCCTGGGTTTCTCTTTCAAAGCTTTTCTGCCGTCAAGCATGTGATGGGAGGAACAACCTGGAAAATCTCCAAGATGCTTTCAGGGTCATTCTCCAATTATTTTGTACAATAATTTCTGGCTTTTCTCCATCCATACTCATCTCCTTATCAAATGGTCACTGGGCTGCACCTTGATTTTCCTTACCAAACATGCTTTTCCATTCTTTACATGATCAGGCTAGGAATTTTCCACATCTTTGTGTTCTTTCTTATTTAATTATAAACTCCATCTTTAAATTATTTCTCTCATCTCATATTTTAATATATGGAATTAAAAGAAGCTATGCAGTACCATGAAATACTGAGCTGCTTAGATAATTCTTCAGCCAGATATCCTAGTTCATTGCTTTTAAGTTCTGCCCTCCATAAAGTCCTAGTACACAGACATTCAGCCAAATTTGTTGCTACTTTATAACAAGGATAGATCTGTCTCAGATTTCAGTACCTTGCTCCTCATTTCCATCTGAGTCTTTACTGTCCGTATTTCTACCAGCATTCTGGTCACAACCACTTATCTCTAGGCAGATTCAGATTTTTCCCTACAACTCTTCTTCTGAGCTGACAAAAGAATTGCCCTTAATGCTTTATTCATGTAAATACAGACTTTCCTATAGCATTCATTTCAAAACTGTTCCAGCCTGTAACTAGTACCTGGTTCCAAAGTCACGTGTACATTTTTAGGTATTTGTTATAGTAACAACCCCATTCGTGATACCAGTTTTTGTCTTAGTCTGTCTTGTGCTGCTGTAACAGAATATCACAGACTGAGTAATTTATAATGAATAGAAATTTATTGACTCACAGTTCTTGAGGCTCAAAATATTAATATCAGGGTGCCAACCTCTCACAAGGGCTTTCTTGCAGCATCATCACATGGCAGAATGGTTTAGAGAGAGCGAAAGAGGGGGCTAAACTCACCCTTTTTTAATAGTATCAGTCCCACCCATGAAAGCAGAGCCCTCATGGCCTAATCACCTCTTAAAGGTCTCTCCTCTTAATACTATTACAATGGCAATTACATTTCAACATGAGTTTTGGAATGGACAACATGCAAACGATAGCAATAGTTTCACTAGACTGACAGAATCTCATGGCACCCAAAACATCTAAGAATCCCCACCAGAAAATTTAATTTATTTTCCACAGAGCACAGTCATGGTGCTCTACTAAAAGTGTAAATTGGATCATGTCACTCCTCAATGTGAAAGTCTTTACTTGTATTTGGAATAAAATACGAACATCTTACCTTAACTTTGAAAGGCCCTCTATAATCTGGCTCCTGCCTAGTTTTTCTTCTTCATCTATTGGTACTTTCTTCCTAGTTCATTCTGCCTGGCATCACTGGCTTTCTCTCTGGTTTTGCAATCCTCTTTGCTTCAGGGCATGTGCTCTTGTCACTGTTGGGAATTTTTCCCTCCATGCCATATGTGTGGTTTGCTCCTTATACTTTGGGTCTCATTTAAATAATGTCTTATCTATGAGCTTTTGCTGACCACCCTACTTAAAGGTAGCTCCTCAATATAGGTAATAAAGGTAACTCCTCAATCCTTTTTTTTATAGCTAATTTCATGTACTTATTTGTAACAAATCAATTCGCTTGTTTTGAGACAGAGTCTCGCTCTGTTGCTGAGGCAGGAGTGCAGTGGCACCATCCTGGCTTATGGCAGCCTCGACCTCCTGGGCTCAGGTGATCTTCCCACCTCAAATATGTTTGTTTAATGTCTGTTCTGTACCAATTTGCAAACTCCATGAGGATATAGGAAGTGTGAGTCTTGTTCAAACTGTCATAATATGGGGCTTGACCTTTGTAGATCAGTAAATATTTATTGAATGAATGAATGAATTGGGGGGAACATGAATAGTCTGCTATTTGGAATATATAAACTCATTTGTTTATTAATAAACTCACTTATTAGACAATGAAAAATGAGAGAACAACCATAACATTTAAATTCTGAACAGCTTTCAGAGTAATTCATGAGCTACAGTTGAATGCTTTAATCTCCTCAGTTATTCAGAAATGAAAAGTAATAGTTCATTATATGACAAGGGGAACCACCCAGAAAATCAGAATTTTAAAAAATGTGCTTAACTTCCTTTCATCTGCTACACCTTCCCTCTGCCATATCCTAAGCCTATACCCAATTAACTTTATTTCATAATAACATTGTTTTAGGATTGACTCATTTCATTACCATATATCCAATTCATGTACATAGATTTAACTACTTTTCTGTCATATGTAACATTTATTTTAAAAATTTATGATGTGTATAGAAAGTTATCTCTCAAAACTTAAATATTTCTGATCCTGTTAGAGTAAGTCAACAGCCTTTTATACTTAAAACATGTTTATTGAGCTGATTTTTATTAACATAGAGGCTTCATTCCAGTAATGTATAGATTTAGATGGTAAACCTTTAAAATTATATGTGGAAATAAATCCCATAAAGATATACTCTCCTACTTTTCCCATCTCTCTTTTTGGGGAAAAGGAGTGTTTAGTAGAGTTGGAGAAAGACTTGGATAGAATATTTTCTTTCTCTAAGTCAATGATAAACTGAGATTATTTTCATTAGTATCTTAAATGACAAGTGATCATCTTATCCTGAATAACCTTATGACTTATAAAAATGAGAAACAGTAATATATAGTTAATATATAGTTTATACCTTGATCATTATTTGGGAGACGTCACTGGGTCAAAATTTAGGCAATTTTTTAAGAGAACGTGACTGTTATTGACTTGATTACCATATTCCTTTTATTCTTTAGAGATCACTAGGTGCCCGGTGGTTCCAGTAAGAATTCATGATATTCTTTTTTCCTCATTTCACTTTTGGCTCAACATGATAATTGATTGCTTGTAGTCTTGTTCTTTTTTTGGCTGTAGCAATTTTGTGTAGAGTATTTCATGCAAATGAGTGCATGTTTATGAAAGCCTATTTATTGAAGAAATTTTACTTTAGGTCACTTAGGATGTAACAAGGGGAAAAAAGAAGGCCTATGTACTCACTTGATGCATTCTAGCATTATTTACTTATCTTAGGACCCAGACATCACAAGGAAAAGATATTACTTAAGTGATAAGTAACATCATGCTACTCTTTCTATCTTTCTCACTGAATGAAACTAAGTTATACCTTGTAATGGTTAATTTTATAAATCAACTTGACTGGGCCAAGGGATGCCTATATATCTGGTAGCACATTATGTCTGGGTGTGTCTGTGAGGGTGTTTCTGGAAGAGAGTAGCATTTTAATATGTAGAGGTAGTAGTCTGAGTAAGGAAGATGACCTTCACCGTGGAGGGTGGGCACCATCCGATTAACTGAGGGCCTGAATAGAACAGAAAGGCCAAGGAAGGATAAATTTTCTCTCTGCTCCAGCTGGAACTTCCATTTCTCCTGCTCTTGGACATCAGTGCTTCTGGTTCTCTAGCCTTCAGACACAGCCTGGGACTTATGCCAGGGGCTCCCCGTCTTAGGCCTTTTGGTGTGGACTGGGAACTACACTTGTGGCTTTTCTGGGCCTTCATCTTGCAGATGGAAAACCATGGGACTTCTTAGCTTTTATAATCACGTGATCCAATTCCTCATAATTGTTGTGGAGACATATTCTGTTTCTCTAGAGAAACCTTAAAACATGCCTGATTCCAGTTCTTAATATTTTTGTCTTACTGTGTCTGATTTTCTCCCTCCCTCTTTTCTTTTTTCCTCTCTTCTTTTACCACTCTCTCTTTCTTCTTTAATCAACTTATATCCTTCTTCCAGAGAAGAAAAAAAGAAATGGATTCACTTATCAGAAAATGTAAATAAACCAATAAATATAAAAAGAAAAATTGCTATCAAATTGTAAAATGATTTTCTGCTTGGATTAGGGAGGAGGAGGTATCTGGTTGTGTGAAGTAGGTAGAGGGAGCAGGAAGGTATAATTCCTTCTTAAACAGCTTAAATCAGTCCTCTTCCAGAGGTACCTAGTCCCCAGAAGATCTGGGGATATCTGTGGTATGGATCAGATAGTTTCTTGGTTTGTCCCCAGTGTTAGCCAGTGATTCAGCTTTTTGAGGTCTGGTTGATCAGGTATAACTCACGTATTAGCATTCTAACTTCCGACATTTTGTTGCTATTGTCTTCCTCTTGAACTTTCTATCCCTGTAGGTTTATTCCTTTTTTGAATAGTCTTTAGCTGTCATTTTTTATAGTTTATGGAGGGAGAAGGGCTAAATGTATACCTTTCCTTTCTGATTTTAACTGGAAGTTCTCATTCCACTCTTTACAGAAATGTGTGATGTATCTAGTTAGATATAGAAGGAGAGAAAGAAGCAATCTCTAATTACAAAAAATCCCAAGAGAGAGGACATGCCCTGTGGCCCAATGAAAGTATTTAACTTTACATATACCTATTTGTTCTACACCTCCCTGGAGTGTGATTTGAGCTAAGGGCAGGAATAAAAACTTTGAGTTTTTCTCGAGAGACGCATATATTGCTGGACCCTCAAGCACAAATGTGTAGCGGGCATATGGTATCAGTCTTTCCACAAAATATTTGTACTGAAGAATTATGAACATATAACCTGATTTGTTAACTTCTTTCTTTTTTGACTAGTGGGCTTTTCAAAATAGAAGTTTTAGGTTTACAGAAAAAGTGATTTGTAAGTACAGAGTTTCCATTATTCCTTTTCCTCTCCCAACACAGTTTCCCCTATTATTAACACCTTGCATTAGGTACATTTGCTACAATTGATGAACCAATTGTGATACAGTATTATTAGCCAAAATCCAGAGATCACATTAGTGTTCATTTTTTGTGTTGTTTTTTTCCGCGGGTTTTGACAAATGTACGATGTCATATATCCACCATTACAGTATCATACAGAGAAGTTCCCCTCTGCTGTACCAATTCATAACTCTCTCCTCCTTGAGCCCCTGACTTATTGAACCACTGAATTTATTACTGTCTCTGTAGTTTTGCCTTTTCTTGAGTGTCATATAGTTGGAATACTATATACTGTAACCTCCACCTCCTTGGTTCCAGCAATTCTCCTGCCTCAGCCTCCTGAGTAGCTGGGACTACAGGCATGCACCACCACACCCAGCTAATTTTTGTATTTGTAGTGGACTACAGGCATGCACCACCACACCCAGCTAATTTTTGTATTTGTAGTAGAGACGGGGTTTCACCATGTTGGCCAGGATGGTCTCTATCTCTTGACCTCGTGATCTGCCCGCCTTTGCCTCCCAAAGTGCTGGGATTACAGACATGAGCCACTGCGCCCGGCCTCTCCTTGTCTTTTTATGGTTTGATAGATCACTTCTTTTTATTGTTGAATAACATTTCATTATATGGATGCTTCACGGTTTGTTTATCCATTCAGCTGTTGAAGGACATTTTGCTTGTGCCCAAGTTTTTGGCAGTTATATGTAAAGCTGCTATAAATGTCTCACATTCTTGTGTAGGTGTTTGTGTTTATGTCAGTTCATTTGGATAAATACCTAGAGAGCAATTTTCAGGTTGTGTAGTAAGGCCATGTGTATCTTTGTAAGAAACTATCAAATTGTCTTCCAAAGTGGCTGTATGTACATTAACTTTGTATATTTAAAAAAATCTAGGTTGTTTCATACAGCAGTGTATATTGCAATCAGTTGTAACTTGTATTTCACTTATCACTGTTTAAACACATACAGTTTCACTGTAAAGGTTTTATGAGTTCAGTATTTACTGCTACATTACTACTTAATGTTGCATTGGCCCTAACATTTATAGAAGACAGATTCTAATTAAAAGAAAGTACTGTATACATTTAAAGTAATCACATCAGCACAGTTTACTTTCCATATAGTGAAGGAATTCTCAACACCTTAGTAGAAATAAAAATACATAAATGAAGAGCTATGGACTGTGTTCAAGTGATGATGTTTTATTTGCTTTATATTTCATTTACTCATTCAGTAAACATCAAATAAACACCTATGGTCCTTGATCTTAATGAGTTCTTATATTTCAGTCTCTATGCCTTAGACCAGTGGTCCTCCATACTCTAGGTTATATTAACATTATTTATAGTAGATATTTTATAATATCATCTTTATATCTTGAAATGAAATACAGAGATAAAAGACTTTCCTATACTTTGTTGAAGAAAAGGTATTTAATACTGTAACGTAATTTGTGGTAAATAGTTATAGGTTTTAAATTCACAGACATTTATATAGTAAAGGTTTGCATGTATTATTGAATCATCCATGTGAGGAATGACTACAAATGCAAACTAATATTAATGCTTTGTATTCGAGTTTCAAATTCCAAGAGCAGCATTAATGTTGATTATGTCATTTTCTGAAGTAGTGAACAACTCTTGGTTTAGTTCTGACAAACTAAAATACATTCTTGGTTTATGTTAGTTGTATTCCTAGATAATTCAATGTATATTAAACTGTAATAATATATAATTATACATGTTATATAATATTTTATCTGTGTGTGATATAATTACATAATATAATACATTATATTTATATTTGAATGGAAAGTGAAGATAGGGTCTAGAGTTAAATAACTATAAACCTATTCATACCTAAAAGAATGTCCGGTGGGAAATTTTAGGACATCTTACATTCCATGTCCTTACCTAGTAAGTATGAGCAATTCCCATCAATTATTATGACAACTATAAATGTCCCATCAAATTTTTGACTCTCTCAATGGCACTACCATTGTTGAGAACCATTGTGTTTGATTATTTAAAAATGACTCTACTTGTAATTCAGTTTGTCGGTATGGTACATCTTTTATTTCACCACAAAATAAGTTAATGGCTTCAGAAATCAGAGTTAGTGACGGATTGCAAATAAAGTCACAACATTTAGTTAGCTAAGGACATCAAAAGTAAGGCAAGTTTGCTTCAATACATAAAACTTAGAAAATTGAGAGATGCAATGTGGGATAGAAAAGGTAAATTACTTGTACAACATCATAAAACCTGCCAGTGGCAGTGCACTTTTTACTAAGCCTTGCTGTAACCCTGTGCTTTGGAAATTTGTTCTAAATCTCCTGTGCATAAAGACTGATTTTTCTTCTTATCAATAACAGAGCAAAGAGGATGGAAAAAAAATTGGGAGCCCATTAACATTGTATTTTCCCATTAATGTGCTTTAAAATTAATTTACAACTGCTTTTATTTTACTTTCTTTTTTCTCTCTTCATTACATCAAGTATCTTTTCTTTGGCACTTGTTATTCCTTTGTGATCACTGCATGTCTTTTCTTTTTACTGGCTTCTTAAATCCTGCTGCATTGCTTTTTGCCTTTTCTTCTTTTATCTTTTCTCTTCTGTTTAATTTTTAAATCCTTTACCCTTTATCTTTCTCTCTGTCTTTTTAGCTGCTCTCCCTTCCTTTGATTTCCTCTTAAACATTACTTCTTCTTAACATTGTGTTATTTCATTGATTTTTTTTTGTTTTATCTTTTTAAATTTTGTTTTGCTTTTGTATATAAGACCTACCATGCTTACCCAAACTGAATTAAAGAGAGAAGATAGCGCTGAATCCTCATACTACATGAAAACAACAACATTTATTCAAACTTATTGCATGGATACTTAAAGCTTTATATGACACGTTTTCTCCTCTTTTTTTCTTTCTTTTTGCCACTAGCTTTTTGTTTTTAATTAAAGCCTGAATAATTGATTTGCAGATACATAGCAAATTTAGTTGTCTTTCATTTTGCTAATATGTTAATTCTAACTGTATACAAAATATAACTTTGAGAAATAAATATTTGTTTATAGCTAGACAACAACTAATTTTGCCTCTTATTAAATCTTTAGGATTAGCTGGAATACATTTATAATACTATTAAGAACACAGATATAGGACATAATAAATAAGAGATTATAATGAAATTGTTATTCTTTTGCAAAATTGCTTTATGTGTCAGAATAGTTCATATATTTGCCTTAATGTATATCATTTTTAATATTAATTTTATAACCCATTTTCTTTGGAATTTAAGAGAGATTGAGGCAAATGCATTTAAACCAAACTCAGTTAAACTGGGCTGATTGTTGGTTTTTGAGTCTGTCCTTGGGCATTCTAAGAAATAACTGTGAGGTGGATGTCTTGACAGTCACTTTTTACAGAGGGAGAGGAGCCGATGAATATTATAAGGAAAAGCAGAAGTGCATGAAATATTGGGTGCTTCATTTCTGTTTCAAGCAAGATAATTCTTGAGGGACATTGAAGAAAGAGACCAAGAACTAGTGACTTGCCACACAGAAAGTTAGAAATTCAGGTTTGACATTAGTGATTATCTTGCCTCATGTTTATCTTATATATGTATATATTCTGTTCATTATTGTTCCTATCCATACTCAAGATTAGTTTTACTTACAGCTCATTGATAGACAAATATAGCATTCTCAGCATCTTCTCATTGCTGCTTATGACAGCTTTATATATGTGTATGATGTTTATATATAATTACATAAGTAATGTATTAGATGTTGTTATTATATAACTCATTACTGATATTTTAAATAATAGTTCATTCATCCACTAATTTTATTGAACAGTTACTGAAGCTTTATTCTTAAAGCTAACTGTAACAGTTGTTTTTCCCTCTTATTTAAAATCATTAAATTCATATATTTTTTTCTGATAATGTTGCTGGAATTGTTTATTTCCCTTCTTATGGTTATGATTCTTCCTAGGGTTATATTGGTTTACATTTATTCCGTCCAGGAAGAAAGGGCTTACTAAGTTGATTGGTAATGTTGACTGGATTTTAGTGTGCATATCAAATATATTCAAAATAAACTATTTTGTGACAACTAATGCACCTTAGAAATAAAAACTCTATAGTCTCTGCTACTTGGGAGGCTAAGGAGGGAGAATCGCTTGAGCCCAGGATTTTGAGTCCAGCCTGGACAACACAGTGAGACCTCATCTCCTAAAAAAGAAATAAAAACTTGGTATTTTAATTGTATATTTTGTATTTTAAAAAATTAATTAATTAATTTATTTATTTATTGCGGCAGAGTCTCGCTCTGTCACCAGGCTGAAATGTGATGGCGTGATCTCGGCTCACTGTACCCTCTGCCTCCAGGGTTCAAGTGATTCTCCTGCCTCAGCCTCCCGAGTAGCTGGGACTAGGGCGCGCGTCACCACGCCCAGCTAATTTTTGTATTTTTAGTAGAGACTGGGTTTCAGCATGTTGTCCAGGATAGTCTCCATCTCTTGACCTCGTGATTTGCCCACCTCGGCCTTCCAAAGTGCTGTGATTATAGGCATGAGCCACCACGCCCAGCCTAAAAATTTTAAAAGGACCTTTTATTAAATAATATCTTCTTAGCCTTGTTTTTCTATGTTAATTAAATACAATTTCTTTGCTAATTTACTAACTTTAGACACTTAATTCCCAAACCTGGTGATTATTAAACTATATTGGAGAAAAATTATTAAACTATATTGGAGAAAAATTTAAAACTTCCTTTTGTCAGATGGGTTCACATCTTATAAATTTAGTTTGGTATTCTGTGTATGTGTGTGTTTGTGTAAAATGCACTCTTAGTGTTCTTAATAGACTGTAATTTACACTTTTTATCAAGTTGTGTCAGTCATTTAAGAGTATGGTTTAGCATCACTATCATCTGGGAACTACTGTCAGAAATGCAAATTTTGGGGAGTCACCCCAACACATTGAATCAGACACTGTGGGTATGCGATCTGCAATCTGAGCTTTAACAAGCTCTACTTGTGATTCTGATGCTGCCTCATGTTCAAGTTCCCCTTATTTACATTTAAAGACCTTCCCATTTGATTGTACAATCTTACTTGTTTTTAAAATAAATTTTCTTAACATATGCATCATCTTGAGTGGGTTTATAATTCAGTAACACCCCAAATTTGGGCTGGACATGGTTGCTCATGCCTATAATCCCAGCATTTTGAGAGGCCGAGGTGGAAGGATTACTTGAGCCCAGGAGTTCGAGTCCAGCCTTGGCAACATAGTTAGACCCCATCTCAAAAATAATAAAAATATTAGCCATTAGCCAAGTGAGGTGGCATGCACCTGTGATCTCAGCTACTTGAGAGGCTGAAGTGGGAGGATTGCTTGAGCCTGGGAGGTTGAGGCTGCAGTGAACTGTGATTGTGCCACTGCACTCCAGCCTCGACTACACAGTGAGACCCTGTCTCAAAACAAAGCAAAACAAAAAACAAAAAAGACCCACCTCAAATCTCTAAGTTCATGTATTAGTCAGCCTAGGCTGCTATAACAAAATACCGTAGACTGAGTAGTGTAAACAACAAAAATTTATTTTCTCACAGTTCTACGGGCTGGAAGGCTAAGCTCAGGGTGCCAGAATGGTCAGGTTCTGGTGAAGTCTCTCTTTCTGAGGGAGAGAGAGAAATAAAGAGCACAAAGTGCAACTCTGAGTTTGAGGGCTCTGTGTCTCTTTATGAGGGCATTCATCCCATCATATGGGCTTCACCCTCATGACCTCATCTAAACCTAATCACCTCCCACAGTCTCCACCTTCAAATACCATCATATTGGGAGTTAAGGTTTCAACTTGCGACTTTTGAGGGGGACATAATTCAGTTCACAGAAGTCCAGTTTTCATTGATTGATTTTTTTCTATATAAAACAAGATGTGATGCTAAAATAAAAAGACTTTTGTGAAGTAGTCCTAACCTTTTTTCTAATGGTGTACCTTTTAAATATTAGTTTCTTTGTTTGAAAATGCAATAAAAATGTAAGCCATGTGTGTCATGAATGTTTGGGAAATTCAAATGTGATGGATATGTGAAAGAATGGTATAGTTACAGCATTTTATAGCTGTAATAAAGGCCATTTTAATTTTTGATTTTTTTTTTTTTTTAGACAGGGTCTCACTCTGTCACCCAGGCTGGAGTGCAGTGGCATGATCTCAGCTCACTGCAACCTCTGCCTCTTGGTTTCAAGCGATCCTCCCACCTCAGCACCCCAGGTAGCTGGGATTACAGGCATGCACCACCATGCCCAGTTAATTTTTGTATTTTTGGTAGAGACGGGGTTCTCCATGTTACCTAGCCTGGTCTCAAACTCCTTGGCTCCAGTGATCCGCCCATGTCAGCCTCCCAAAGTTCTGGGATTACAGGCATGAGCTACCGCCCCCAGCCAGTATTATGTTGTTATTCATGTCAGCTGCCTGTGTTTCAGTCAGTAACTATAAGTACATCTAAGCAGTGAGCCATGTGGCATTCAAACACTCTACTGATTGGAAACAATAGGTCATTGGAGGTCATAAAGGAGTATTGGAAGTGGTCATAGAAATCATTGAGACCATTTTCTACCTGATGCAGAAGTCCTCTCTAGTGGTCCCCAACATTTTTGGCACCAGATTCCATTTTCCTGGAAAACAGTTTTTCCAAGAATGCTATAGGGGGGTAGGGGATAGGGCTGATGGTTTCATGATGAAACTTGGTTCCATCTGAGATCATCAGGCATTAATTAGATTCTCATAAGAAACATGCAACCTAGATTCCTCTCATAAGCAGTTCACAATAGGGCTCGCACTTCCGTGGGAATCGAATGCTGCTGCTGATCTGACGGGAGGTGAACCTCAGTGGTAAATGGTCACTTGGCGGGGCTCACCTCTTGCTATGTGGCCCAGTTCCTAACAGGTCACGAACCAGTACCGGTCTGTGGCCTGGGGCTGCTCTAGAATATCTTAATGTTTGCTTGATTGCCATCAGTCCCTGAATTAGTAAGGATTCTTCAGAGAAACACAACCAACAGAGAAGAGTGGGGAGAAGGAGAGAGGGAGAAGACTGATTTTATGAAATTGGGATCTGGCAAATTTGAAACTGGAGCCAGCCAGCTGGAGATACATGGAAGAGTTGACATTGCAGCTCATCCAAAGACAGTCTGGAGGCAGAATTTCCTCTTTTTCGGGTCCTCTTTTTACTTTTAAGGCCTTCAACTAATCAGATTAGTCTCACTGCATTATGGAGGGTAATATACTTTATTGAAAAATACTTTGTTTTTTAGATAAGGTCTTACACTATTGCCCAGCCTGGAGTGAGTGCAGTGGGGTGATCCTAGCTCACTCAGCCTCAAATTCCTGGGCTAAGGAGATTCTTCTGCCTTGGCCTTCCAAAGTGCTGAGATTACAGGTGTCACCCGCTGTGCCTGGCCCTCAAATATTAATTTCACCTGAAAATTTTCTTCACATGTAGTGACAACTAGATATGTTTTGGTTGAATGTCTGAGTAAAATGGCTTAGAGAATTTGACACATAAAATTAACTATCACAGCTTTCCTTAATATTTAGGGTCAATTCTACTTTTAATGTATTTTGTAACCTTTCTAATTTTAAAATGTTATGAAAATAATATAAAATAAATACATATATAAATGAATAAATTGATAAATAAATACATGATGGTCAATACCAGATATATTATCTTTACTTCTTATTTTTAAAAATTCAACTACCTGTCAACAATGTGGAAGCATTAGAAAGGGAGCAGAGCTAAGAGAAGTGCATGTAGAGCACACTGGTTCATAGACACAGTAGCAGCAAGTCACAGAGCTCTGTATTTGGCCCTACTCATATGGTTATCACATCTGCAAAATGCACAAATTAAAGAAGAGTAGCTATTATGTTGAATGTTTACATTGAGACCCCACAAGGATTTTGGCAGAATGGTCTGACAAAATAGCAACGTGAAAATTAATGGGATGACTATAAAATCTTGTTCTTAAGTTTAATAAAAGTTTTACATGTGTAGATGAAAAAGACACTTAGAAACATACCACCGAGTAAATACTGAAAATACCACAGGAGATTGCAGGAATTGGTGAAACAGACTGATATACAACACAGCTGTTGCCTAATATGGGGTAAAAGGTAAATTTGATATGCTATCATCTTCTCTTGGTAAAACTTTTTATATCAAATAAAGATTTTTATAAGTAAAACACTATAGAAGGTATTTTACTTTCATCATATCCTGCCTTGTATTATAATTATTTAATAGCTTAAAAATTGTAATCTACTTTTCCTTCACATTAGATTATGAATTTTATCCTCCATTCAGTCCTGTACACACAAAATCAGCCCTCAATTAATTCTAGTTCAGTTTACTTAAAAGTAGCCATCACCAAATAACTTTGGAACAATACCTTCAAGTTATTTTCTTTAATGACAAGCTAATTGATAAGAAAGCAACAATTCAATCAATCAAATAAGGCCTTACAGGAGAGGTTGCTGGCAGGATATAACCAGAAGAATCCAGATCAAGCTGTAAGTAATTCTTTCCAATCTTTTTTTTGAGTCATGATCCTGACATAGATATAATATGTGACTTCTTAAGCAATTTATCCAAAGTTATTCTGAACCCTGCATCATATTCACTTTACTGGATATAATTGGAAAGCACATTGTACTGAGATGTCTGAGGAGACTAGGGAGACAGGAAACACTGAAAGAAGAAGGCATTATTTACTAATCCTTGAACTATTCTCTGGCAAAAGTGACATTTATTGATCTTGCAGTGCCTATGATTTCTATAAAACCTAGTTGTGGGACAGTTTAGCTAATACCGATATTGATAGGCATACATTTCTGTTGGGTAGTACAAAAGTCAGAATTTCAAGTTGATGCCATTTGACCAAGAACTGGGAAGCAATGGTATATTTTAGCCTTCCCATTCCTCTAACTTCACTTAAATTTTGTAAGATTATGCCTCTTAGGATTTCCTTCAATTTGTTCATGTAAATTACTTTTTTCCCCTATGCTACTATTACGACGTCTATCACTCAAAATCTTTTTTCTAAACATTGACCATTTCAAAGAAGCATCTTTCATAATTAAAAAATAACCTGGTCTGGCCCATTGGCTCACGCCCGTAATCCCAGCACTTTGGGAGGCTGAGGCGGGTGGATCACCTGAGGTCAGGTGTTCGGGACCAGCCTGGCTAACATGGTGAAACCCTGTTTCTACTAAAAATACAAAAAATTAGCTGGGCATGGTGGCACACACCTGTAATCCCAGCTATTCAGGAGGCTGAGGCAGGAGAATCTCTTGAATCCGGGAGGCAGAGGTTGCAGTGAGCCAAGATCGTGCCATTGTACTCCCGCTTGGGCAACAAGAGAGAAACTCCATCTCAAAAATAAATAAATAAATAACCAACCTAATTTGGCTGGGCATGCTGGCTCACACCTGTAATCCCAACACTTTGGAAAGCCAACATAAGAGGATCTCTTGAGCCCAGGAGTACAAGAACAGCCTGGACAACATGGTGAGACCCCATTTCTACAAAAAACGAAAAATTAGCTGGGTGGTGTTCCTGTTGTCCCAGATACTCAGGAGGCTGAGGCTGGAGGATCACTGAGCCCAGAAGTTGGAGGCTTCAGTGAGCTATGTTCATTCCACAACATCCCTGTCTGGGCAACAGAGTGAGACCCTGTCTCTAAAAAAATGTTAAATTTTTTTGTAAAATAATCAAATTTAAGGAATTTGATTTACAAAATCACAGAAACTTTGAATTGATCATTTTACTGATATATTTTTGTTTTCTTATTTAATTTTATCGTACCTTCTCTATTAAAGGATTATAGTTGTTTTTACTGAATACATACAATCAAAAGATTAACTTTGATTTAAAGCATGTCTAGAACCAAATCATACGCTTGATAATATAGTGCTAGAGTCACCCTAAATGTTGAAATCATGTTAAATTCCAGTTTAATAAAACATGAACTGTCTACTGTATCCAGCACTAAAATTTTTCTGTATTTAAGCAATGACTGAAAATTCTATAGGAAGCAGGAGTATGAAATGGCGCAGTTGCCTTGTGATAAATCTGAAACTCTACTTGATACTACCCTTAAGCAGTCAAATATTTGAGTACAAATGCCTTGTCAGTTTTATGTCAGGGAACTTGGTCACAATCAAACTGTAAGAAACAAGATATCTTCCCTGGAAACTATACTCTGTCTGCCTTTTCTCTGTTTATAGATGAAAAACTCAAAACAAAAATAATTAAGAAAACTTCCATGACCACACAATTGGCAATGAATCCTCAGAAACCATCCAGAGGGAAGAGGATCTGGATGAGTACTGATGCAGACAATTTAGCAAGAAGTGTTTGGAAGGTTTGGAGGCATCATGTCTTTATTTTTATTTGGAAATTAAGCGATGATATTTGGTTGAGGCTGCAAATGAATAGGGGATATGAAAATATCCTTCTCTCTTGCCTTCTCCTCATTTCTCCCTTACATCCTCTCTGTATGTTCCTGTAAGAAATATTTATTTAGTTCCTTCTATGTGCAAGTCAGTGTGCTAATATGTGCTGGCTATAGGCTTATAAGGCATGGATTTAAAAAATGCCATGAATGATTTCAGGTCTGTTACAACCATTCAGGTAGTTTTTCAAGAGTCAGTTTATTAGTCATTCACACCTGAACACTGCATCTGAAATTTTGAAACCCAAATTCCAGACCTGGCATTGGCAGGAATTGGTTTTGAGATCCTACATATGTCACTTCAAGCTCTTTAGGCCTTAGCATGTTTTTATTTTTAAAATGAGGCACCTTCTTTCCTTGTAACAGAATGAGATTTTAGATTGTTAACATCACAGTGGTATTGGAAACCTGGTTAAGTAGCTGCAGACAGAAGTGGGTTTAAATCATGCCTTTGTGCTAAGAGGTCAAGTTACTTAATCTCTAATTTGCATATGTAATATAGGGATATATAGTTATACTCCCCTAATTAGACGTTTTGAGGATTAAATGAGACAGTGCATATAAAATGCTTAGCCAGTGTCTGGTATATAATAGGAACTCAATAAATTTTATCTGCTTTTATTACTATTTAATAGATGTGTAACACCTCTTACCAATCCTTTTACTGCTTTCTCTTGATTATCTCCTTCCATTTTCCTGGCTACTAAAAAATGTTTTCTACTATTTTCATATCCCCTATTCATTTTCAGCCTCAACCAAATATCATTGCTTAATTTACAAATAAAAATAAAGACATGATGCCTCCAAACCTTCCAAACACTTCTTGCTAAATTGTCTGCATCAGTACTCATCCAGATCCTCTTTCCTCTGGATGGTTTCTGAGGATTCATTGCCAATTGTGTGGTCATGGAAGTTTTCTTAATTATTTTTGTTTTGAGTTTTTCATCTATAAACAATGACAACCAAATCACATAATGCAGGTGAGACATTTAATAAATGTTAGTTTCTTTCCCTGCATTTCCCAGTCTTTCTACCTATATTCTGTACAATCCAGTGAGAGGTGTTTGCTTAAATTACAGATCAGTTTACATCTCCATCTTTTTTTATTTTTTTTGGAGACAGAATCTCACTCTGTAGCCCAGGCTGTAGTGCAGTGGTGCTATCTCAGCTCACTGCAACTTCTGTCTCCAGGACTCAAGTGATCCTCCCACCTCAATCTGCTTAGTAGCTAGGACTACAAGTGTGCGCCACCAGGCCCAGCTAATTTTTTTTTCTTTTTTTCTATTTTTGTAGACACAGGGCTTTGCCATGTTGCCCAGGCTTGGCTCAAACTCCTGGGCTCAAGTGATCCTCCCATCTCGGCCTCCCAAAGTGCTGGGATTACAGGTGTGAGCCACCATGCCTGGCAGCACCTGGCAACACCTTTTGAATAAAGGCCAAATGCTCTGTTTGGCTTACAAACTGATATAGCTAGTTCTTTTCTCCTTTCTACTGTTCTCTCCAACTAACTCGACTGCCTGTTTTTTGCCACGTTGCAGTTGAGTACACTTTCCCTTGATCTGGATTCTTTTCATATTTTCCTTATTTCTTCTTTATTTTGCTTCATTTCTTAAGACACAGCTTAACACCATAAATAGAAAAACTACATTGAGGGTATGGGTGGAATTAATCACTGCCATGGTAATATTTAATATACTTCTTACTGAGTCTATGTTTCATTGTAAATAGTTCTTTATATGTACATGTTTTTAAAAAAATCCACTTCCTCCCTTCCCTCAAATTTCATTTCCTAGCAGAAGTATCTCTTATTTTAAACAAATTTTTTTTCTGCTTCTTCTTCTGAGGCATCTTCTTTATTTGTTTACCTTTTCCTGTAGATCAATATGTCCGATAAAAGTATATACAAGCCACAGGTGTAATTTTAAAATTGTAATAACCACATTAACAAAATAAAAAGCGGTGAAACTCATTTCAATGGTACTTTTTATTTAAGCAACATATCCAAAATATTATCAACAGGTAATTGATATAAAATTACTAGTGATTTATTTTACCTTTTTTTGAATGTTTCCTGGAAATCCAGTGTATAGTTGACATTTGTAGCTCAACTCAGTTTAGGCTAGCCACATTTCCAGTGCTTAAAAGCAACATGTAACTAGTGGCTACTATATTGGACAGACAGCTCAGACAACTGTAGAAAAAGTCTGAGAACTGAGTCAGTAAGGAAGGGGTTTAACTCACAGCTCTGCATCTTATTCGCTAAATGATTTTTGGTAAGTTATTTATGGTCTCTGAACCTCATCCTCATCTCCCCTTCCCCGTTTTTCACATGCGATGATAATATCTCATACAACTGTTGTAAAACAAAACAAAACAAAAAAATAGAAATAGTGTAAGATTCCATTTAAGGCATCACGCACAATATTCTTGCCTATCAAAATTGTTTGCTTTTTGTGACAAAATTGTTTGTCACAGTTTTTTGAGAGTATTTGCTAGTAGCTAAATAATCTAATGTGAGTTTTGCCCTTTTCTTATTTGATAAAGGTTTTTAAGCATCAGTGAAATGGCCAAAGGGCAGCAAACATGGGGGAGTTAAGTCAGAAATAGTAGAGTACCTAAATAATCCTCGAAGTATTATATGTCTTGAATAACTAAGAGTTGGCTGTTGGTTGTGTGTGCCAAAAAAAAAAAAAAAATCATTGAAAAGATCTTTTCTTTGGAGTTTTCGCCCAGATCAGAATTTTATTGCCTTTTGCCGTAGACTGCTGCAAGATTTCCAGAGCAAAGAGAAGGTATAGTGTTCCTTAATGTGAGTTATGAAGATCAAAATACAGCAAAGAGAAGATTTCAGAGATTTAAAAGTGATAATTTTTACTGAAATTTGGAAATATGTCTCCATATTTTAACTTTATTTTATAAAAAAGAATTACTCTGTTTTTTGAAATGGCCAAGCATTAAGTAATATATGACCGTGAATTTCTTGAGGGTGGGAAATGTGACTGGATTTTATATTTCGATTGTATCACATGCAGCCTCACACATTGCGCTCAACAAAAGAAACAAAAAAGGAAGATCCTTTAGCCCAGTGTTTCCAAATACACAAATTTTCTGGACTAAAAGAGTATATTTGAAAAGCAAGTATAAAGCAAGTTGGTAAGAATCAGATGACCGTGTGGAGTAAATGATTCATTTTCCAATCTTTACAACAGCTTCATGAGTATCACTACATTGGTAAGGATTTTTGAAATAGGCATATTATTATTTCAAGTTTTTAATATTTTTGGTTTGATCATCTTTAGAAAGTAACCCCAAGGACTGTGTACTCAGTTTTAGTAAGTCAGGTCATATATTGAATTCTCTGGGAAGCATATTATGAGATGGAGATTAGCATTCAGTATATAATTATTAGGGGACCATTTTTGAGATCAAACCTTTGGAAGGGAAAGAAAGAAAGCAGAATTGGGGAGAGGGATGTAGTTTCAATGGAGGCCTCACAGACCTCATGGGAGCTCTGAAGCAAAGTGGCTCTTCAAGTTCTCCCTTATTCATGCAAGAGTTCAGACCTTTATACTTCTGCATTGATCATTGGATGAAGGCTATTCTAGAAAGTCTCTCTTCAACTTAGTAGCTGGAAAGATAAGTCCTTCATCCCAGAAGTGTGTTTGGGCAACATATCACAGCATCCACTACACTTAGAATAGTTAGAACCCATGGCCAAGCTTGGTGGCATGCATATGTCATCCTGGCAGTTTGGGAGGCCAAGGTGGGTGGATCGCTTGACTCCAAGAGTTTGAGAATAGATTAGAACCTAAAGTACCATAAAAAGGCTATCCCAGTCCTGGTCCAAACCACCCGTCTTTCCAGGACTACAATTAGAGACACATCTTTGCTCTTTCTATTTCCATCCTTGCCCTCATCTAGTCAAGTCTCCCCAGGACAGACAAAGCAAGCTGTGAAATGTAAACCAGATAGTCTCAATACCCTGCCTAAAAACTTCCAGTGGCTTTCAACTGAAAGAAAGAAAATCCAAATTCATTACTGTGGTCACTAGTCTCTGCTTGACCTAACTCTTATCTATGTCTGCAACATTATTTTTGCTACTTTTCACCTCACATATTATGTTTCTGACCTGTTGACCTCCTGTCAGTTTCTCAAACATGCCAGGTTATCTCCTGGTTGAGGGCATTTGCACATCCTGAGTCCTCAGCCAGGCAAGCACACCTCCTCACTTTCTCTGTGACTGCTTTCTTCTTATTATTTAGATCAAATCCCCATAGAGGCCTTCCACGACAATTCCATTTTATGCAGACCTCCAGTAGTCTTCATCTGTCATGTCACTGTATTTTCCTTCATGATCTTATTACAAACTGTAATTATCTTGCTTATTTAATTGTTTCTATATTTCCTCTCTTCCTCTGTTGGAATGAAAGCTCCATGAGTCATTTTCCCACTTTATACCTCTTTCTAGAATAGATCTTTGATAAGTTTCATTATTTGTTACTAAATGAAGGTTTTGAGCTATCTTACATGACCTACCTGTTTGACTTATTTTTAATATTACAGCTTTATTAAAACATAATTCACTTAGCATAAAATTCACCATTTTAAAGTGTATGACTCAGTGTTATTTTACTATATTCAGAGATTTATGCAACTGTCAGCATTATCAAATCGTAGGACATTCTCATCACCTCAGAAAGAAACCTCATTCTCATTAGCAGTCTCTCACTACCTCCCCCTACTCTGTAGTCCCTGGTAACCTTATTCTTTCTGTTTCTATAGATGTTCTTATTCTGGACATTTCATATAAATTGAGTAATACAGTGTTGTGCCTTTTATATAAGGCTTATTTCACTTAGCATAATGTTTTCAAGGTTTACCCATATTGCAGCATGTATCAGTACTTCATTCCTTTTTCTGGCCAAATAATATTCTGTTGTTTGGGTATGCTAGTTTTTATTTATCCATTCGGTAGTTGATGGACATTTAGGTTGTTTCCACTTTTTGGCTTATGAATAATGCTGCTCTGAGCATTCATGTTTTCATGTGGACATGTTTTCAGTTCTGTTAGATAAAAACTTAGGAGTCATATAATTTTATGTGTAACATTTTGAGAAATGGCCAAACTGTTTTCAAAGTCTCTGTACCATTTTAAAATCCCACCATCACTGTAAGGAGATTTTAGCTATCCTAAGTGGGTATGAAGTGATATTTCATTATGCTTTTTATTTTCATTTCATAAATACAGTATAAAACATTTAGCTTGTAAGCATCTGAAGAACATAAAAAGATATAAGGCAAATTCTTACTTGAATAATATTCACAATAATTTAGTAATGCCTGTTGACATCATCTACGTTCCTATTGGACCTACTTAATTTGTAAACACATATTAATTAACTAATTAATTAATTTCTTCCCACAAATTGAATTTTATTTCCTAGCCTCAAATCTTTTTTAGAAAGCTTTAAAAAGTATGTTAAGGTTTATAGCAATTTGAATTTGCCATTTTAGAAACTAAACAGTTTTTTGAATTTGTCTTCAGATTACTCTACAATAGGACCTAACTCTTAGTGGCTTGAGGCATATTACTTATTTTGACTCAAGCTTTATTTGAATGCCATGATTAAAAATAACTGAAAAGGCCAGATATGGTGGCTCACGCCTATAATCCCAGCATTTTGGGAAACCAAGGCAGGCGGGCTGCTTGATCTTAGGAGTTCAAGACCAGCCTGGACAACATGTGTGAGAGTCCCCACACAGAGTTCCTACTTGGTCACCACCTAGTGGACCTGGGAGAAGAGGGCCACTGTCCTCCAGACCCTAGAATGGTAGATCCACTGACACCTTTCACTGTGTACCTGGAAAAGCTACCACAGACACTCAACACCAGCCCATGAAAGCAACTGGGAGAGAGGCTGTACCCTGCAAAGCAACAGGGGAAGAGCTGTCCAAGACCATGGGAACCCACCGCTTTCATCAGTATGACCTGGATGTGCGACCTGGAGTCAAAGGAGATCATTTTGGAGCTTTCAGATTTGACTGCCCTACTGGATTTTGGACTTGCATGGGGCCTGTATCCCCTTTGTTTTGGCCAATTTCTTCCATTTGGAACAGCTGTATTTACCCAATGCGTGTACCCCCATTGTATCTGGGAAGTAACTAACTTGCTTTTTATTTTACAGGCTTATAGGGGGAAGGGACTTGCCTTGTCTCACATGAGATGTTGGACTGTGGACTTCTGAGTTAATGCTGAAATGAGTTAAGACTTTGGGGGACTGGTGGGAAGGCATACTTGGTTTTGAAATGTGAGGATATGAGATTTGGGAGGGGCCAGGAGTGGAATAACATGGTTTGGCTGTGTCCCCACTCAAATCTCATCTTGAATTTTAGCTCCCACAATTCCAATGTGTTGTGGGAGGGACCTGGTGGGAGGTAATTGAATCATGGGGTCAGTCTTCCCCATGCTGGTCTCATGATAGTGAATAAGTCTCATGAGATCTGGTGGCTTTATAAGGAGGAGTTTTCCTCCACAAGCTCTCTCTCTCTTTGCCTGATGCCATCCATGTAAGACATGACTTGCTCCTCTTTGCCTCCTGCCATGATTGTGAGGCCTCCCCAGCCACGTGGAACTGAGTCCATTAAACCTCTTTCTTTTGTATATTCCCCATCTCAGGTATGTCTTCATCAGTAGTGTGAAAACAGACTAATACAAAGGGCATGATTGTGTTTTGATTTGTGAGTAGAGGAAATTTGGGAGGGGCTGAAGTGGAATGATATGGTTTGGCTGTGTTCTCACTCAAATATCATCTTGAATTGTAGTTCCCATAATCCCCAGGTGTTGGAGCGATCAGATGGAGATAATTGAATCATGGCATGGTTTCTCCCATCCTGTTTTCATGATAGTCAGTGAGTTCTCATGAGATCTAATGGCTTATAAGGGGGTCCCTCCTTTGCTGGACATTCATTCTTCTCCTTGCTGCTCCCATGTGAAGAAGGACATGTTTGCTTCCCCTTCCACCATGATTGTAAGTTTCCTGCGGCCTCTCCAGCCATGCTGAACTGTGAGTCAATTAAACCTCTTCTTTATAAATTACTCAGTCTTGGGTATGTCGTTATTAGCAGCATGAGAATGAACTAATACAGGAGCTTATTTCTCTTTTGCTAGGAAGCTTAGTTTGGCTGGATATGAAATTCTGGATTGGAAATCCTTTTCTTTAAGAATGTTGAATATTGGCCCCTAATGTCTGCTAGCTTGTAGGGTTTCTATTGAAAGGTCCACTTTTAGTCTGATGGGCTTACCTTTGTAGGTCACCTGGTCTTTCTTTCTGGCTGCCCGTAACATTTTTTCTTTCCTTTTGATCTTGGAGAATCTGATGCTTATGTGTCTTGGGGTTGATTTTCTCATGGAGTGTCTTACTGGGGTTCTCTGCATTTCCTGAATTCAATGTTGGCCTGTCTTGTTAGGTTGGGGAAGTTCTCCTTGATGGCATCCTGAAGTATGTTTTTCAACTTTGTTTCATTCTCCCTGTCTCTTTCAGGTACCGCAATCACTCTCTTTACATAATCCCATAGTTCTCAGAGGTTTTGTTCACTCCTTTTCATTCTTTTTTCTCTAGTGTGTGCCTGTCTTATTTCAGAAAGAGTTTACAAGCTCTGAGATTCTTTCCTCTGCTGTCTGTTCTGCTGTTGATACTTGTGATTGCATTATGAAGTTCTCATCTTGTGTTTTTCAGCTCCATCAGGTCAGTTATGTTCTTCTCCATACTGGCTATTTTGGCTGTTGGCTGCTGTATTGTTTTATCATGATTCTTAGCTTCTTTGCATTGTGTTACAACATGCTTCTTTTGCTCAGTAAAGTTTGTTATTAGCCACCTTAGCAAGCCTACTTCTGTCAATTCATCCATCTTAGCCTTAGCCCACTTCTGTGCCCCCTGCTGGAGAGGTGTTATGGTCATTTGGAGGAGAACAGGCACTCTGGCTTTTGAGTTTTAAGTGTTTTTGCATCGATTCTTTCTCATCTTTGTGGGCTTATCTACCTTTGATGTTTGAGGTTGCTGACTTCAAAGATGGGGTTTTTGAATGGGGTCTTGAAGTCTTTTTTGTTGTTGGTCTTCTTGTTTTATGCCTGATTTTCTTTTAACAGTCAGGTCACTCTACCATAGGGCTGCTGCAGTTTGCTGGGGGTTTGCTCCAGACCCCAGTTGCCTCAGTTTTTCCTTTACCTGGAGGTATTACCAGTGATGGCTGCGAAACAGGAAAGATGGCAGCCAAATTTTTGCCCTGGAAGCTGTATGTCCCAGGGAAGTACTGACTTGTTACCTGCCTGAATACAACTGTAGGAGGTGGCTGGAGACCCCTGTTCGGAGGTCTCACCCAGTCAGGAGGAATGGGATCAGGGACCTGTTTAAAGAAGCAGTCTGGCTGCTTTTTGGTAGAGGAGGTGTGCTGCGTTGGGGGAAACCCTTCCTCATCTGGTCTGTTTGTATTCTCCAAAGCCAGCAGGCTAGAATGTCTGAGTTAACCAAACTGCAGAAATGGCGGCTGCCACTCTCCATGGGAGCTTCATCCCAGGGAGGGATAAGCTCTATCTGTAGGACCCTTCTGGAGTGGCTGCAGCAGCGAGATCCCATCCAGTGAGGAGGAAATCGATCGGGGTCCCACTTAAAGAAGCAGTCTGGCCACGTTCTGGCAAAACAGTTGTGCTGCATTGTGGGGTCCCTTCCTTCTCCAGACCCTTTGAATTTTCCAAAGCCAGCAGGCTGGAGCGGCTGAGTCTACCTAAACGCAGAGATGATGGCCACTCCTCCCTCTGGGAACTCGGACCCGCCTCAGGCAGATTCCAGCTTGCTGCTGTTGGCTGGTTGGAATTTCAGGCCAGTGGGTCTTAACTTACGAGGTGCCGTGGAATTGGGGTCCACAGAACAACGCTGCTTGGCTCCCTGTATTCAGCCCCCTTCCTAAAGATATGTATGGGCAGGTTTCCTGCCTTACCAGGGATCCCGGGGCCAGAGTATGTAAAACTCCTGGGTCTCTGTGTACCTGAGCAGCTACCCTGCTGAGAATCCACACAGCTCTGTGTATCAGACCCAAGTCCCTGGTGGTGTGGGCTCACAAGGGGATCTCCTGATGTGCGGGTTGCAAAGATCCACGGGAAAAGCTGGTTTCCCGGGTAGGATCACACAGTCACCACTTTCCTTGGCTGAGGGTGGGGGTTCCTTTGGCTCTGTTCCGCTCCTGGATGGGCTGTCACCCCTGGGTTGAGCTGTTTGCCTAGTCAGTCCCAATGGGAGAACTTGGATATTTCAGTCGAAGGTGCTGAATTCACTTGCCCCGTTCACATTCCTCTTTGTGAGTGCTGTGGACTGCAGCTGCTTCTGGTTGTCTTCTATTTCTTCTAAATTTTTAAAAGTTAATCAGTGTTAGAAAAATTAATCAAAAGTGGCTTTAGGGAAAATGTTTATACTGTGATTTCATATGCACTGTCCGGGAGTCATGTGTACCTAAGAGAGGAAGAACTGGACCCATTTCTTCTTTAAAAATATAATTTGTTTCTGCCGGGCACGATGGCTCACGCCTGTAATCCCAGCACTTTGGGAGGCCAGGGAGGGCAGATCACCTGAGGTCAGGAGTTCGAGACCAGCCTTGCCAACATGGCAAAACCTCTTCTCTACTAAAAATACAAAAATTAGCTGGACGTAGTGGTGGGTGTCTGTAATCCCAGCTACTCGGGAGGCTGAGGCAGGAGAATCACTTGAACCCAGGAGGCGGGGGTTGCAGTGAGCTGAGATCGTGTCATCTCCAGCCTGGGCGACTGGAGCGAAACTCAGTTTCAAAAATAAATAAAATAAAATAAAATAAAATAAAATAAAATAAAATAAAATAAAATATATATATATATTCTTTGTTTCCTTCTGCAAAGTATTGGAGATTAGTGCAGACAGGATCTTAAAATCAACTTTATTTTTATATTGTTTTCCTATCTTAAGTGTTTTGTGTGTGTTCTGCTTTCACGTCTGCTGTGTTTCTGCTAAGAAGGCATGCCATATTATTGAACTGACATTTTATTTCAATATTAGTAACAAGATAGCTAATGAGTTTGTAAAGGAAAGAAATAAAATTCACTTTTGTTGAACACCTCTTATATGCCAACTATTCTTTAATTTGCAAACAAAATCTTGTGAATTGGTGGTTTTTTACCCTCACAGATGAAAAAACTGGCTTTGTGAGAATCAGAATCATACCTAAAATTTCATTTTTCCATTGAGGTAGCATGAAAATCTAGATATTTTGACCTGAAGGCCAATAGACATGCTGAAAAAGAAAAAAAAAAACAAGGAGTTTGACATTTAAAATTCAACTTTCAAGTGTGTTCCGATATATTTTGTCTTTCCTCTTCCAAGTATTTTTGTTTTTTCTGTAGTTGTTTTTTACCCTGCCTCTTTCTAGAATAGTCTTAAGGCAACTTAGAATACATAAAACACAAGATGGCATAAATTAAGAATAGAATAAGACAGAAAAACAAGGGTGGGGAAAGTCTTTTTCTGAGAAAAACAACAACAACATCCTGTAAATGAATATTGCCGGGAGACTGGAAAACATTTGAGCTGGAAAAGGCTGTGGAAGTAAATGGGCTTTCTTGGTGCCAGCTTTGGCATCTGCTCCAGTCACAATATATGTGAGAAAGTGAAGTCTTGTTTGCTTTTGCTTCCTTTAAGTGCTGAAGCAGTGTCATGTACATGGTAAGCCCTTGATAAATGGTTGCTGAATTTGACTTACAGAAGACCTTTATGGTCAGTATTCCAGTGTTACTAAACTGGATAGAATTTTTTTTAAAGGCAGTCAGGAATTTTAGATTTCTCTGTTAGTGGTATTTGTTACATACACTATCCCATTGTTTTCTGGATCTATACTATAAAATCTTATTTCAGAACTGCTTATTAACTCATCTTATTTACATAGGTATTTCTAGAAATTGCCTCATACTAGGAGTGTTACAGGAAGAAATATGTTTTTCTGGTTGAGTAGGTCTGTAAGCTTTGTGCATCTGGAGGCTGCACCAGGATCATTTGCTCTCCATTTCAAATATTGTCTTTACTGGTTTTAAAACAATAACTGTACATTTTGGAGAATTTAAAATTCATAAATAGAAAACATTTCAGTTTGTAAGCATCTGAAGAGTATCAACAGATATAAAGTTTGTTTACTTAAATAATATTCACAATAACTTAGTAATGTCAGTTGACATAATCTTGATTCTTATTTGACCTACATAATTTGTAAACATATATAATTAATGTATTCCCATGGGCTAAATTTTATCTCACAGCTTCATATCTTATATATCTTTAAAAACTATATTAATGTTTATAGCAATTTGAATTTGTCATTTTAAAAACTAAGTATTACTTCTGAGTTTATCCTCAGTTGACTCTTCAATATGACCCAACTCTTAGTTACCTAAGCCATTTTATTTATTTAGACTCAAGCTTGATTTGAATGCTATGATGAAAACTACATATAATAGTATAAAAATATTTTAAGTTAATCATTGTTATAACAATTAATAAGAATTGGCTTTAGGGAAAATCTGTTAACTTAGCAAATGTTGATACGCAAAGAAGCAGGGATTTGAACCACACCAGAGCTCTGAACTTGCAACAGATTTAGTAAAGATATGCTCACCTAAGTAAAGAAGACTATAGGAGAAAATATGCTTTTAAATCTTCTGAGTTAATTTTGTGGAAAGGAAAGTGAGAGCATAGGATACTACCACAAATTTCTGTAGGATACACTTATTTATTAAACTGTAATTTTTCTTCTGAAATGTTATCAGTCTCATCTTCAAGATTTTTCTGTAGTGACCACATTTTATACATTTTGAATGTTTGCTCCATGTGAGATTTCAGTCTTTGTATTTAGTTTGTTGTTCACTTACTCTTCATGATATCACTATTCTTATTCCCATTTTACTTAGGCACAGAGAGATTAGATGACTACCTTAAGGTCACTCTCAGGGGCAGAGTATAAAACCAAGCAATTTGATCAAGAGCTCACAGTCCTACTATACAGCACACAAGTGGACACATTTTTATCCCTAAAATTATGACTTAAACAGCAAAAGTAGAATTTACAAGACTTTTTTCATTTAGACTTCTTAGGGTCATGAATTTGGCAAACCAAAGCCTATCTGCAACTGAGATTTTAGAGATTAAAACCAAAGAAGTAACTGTGTAATATTTTATACAGATTCTTACTGCTTTAAGAAAATCATCTTATATCCTTTTTACCATGGCTACTGAAGTTCAGAGGCCTGTAATAAACTAGTATGTTGTATATACTGAGATGCAGTAACAATCAAGACACGGTATAGGCTGATGTACCTCAGGCTGGTGTGGAGGGCCACAGAGCTCTGCAGGTTGGCCCTACCTCTGCTGGGGTCGTTGCTCAGTCACTGCCTTCCCCCCTTACTCCTGCTGACAAAACCCATTCTTTTCCTTCTGCTTACTTTACTCCCAAACTTTGCATAACTCTGGGCTCAGTATGCAATTTTTAAGCATTTTGTTAGTTTCCTAGGGAGCAAAACAACTCTCACATCAGTGGGGAAAATGCCATCTATTCTATGATGATATCCTAGTAGTGATAATCTTTCAGAAATATAAAAAGTGCTATTTCTTTTGGTCTAAGCTAGATGACAATTTATGAGAATTTGTTTAAAATTACTGGTTTTCAGCTTTTTAAAGCATTTTGGATATAGTTTATATTTGAAACATATTAAAATAATCCATCTTGAGTTGCACTATTAATATTTTTTAGAATTGATATTTGTAAAGCATTTTAAATGTAGGAGGCACCTTATAAGGACTAAGTATTATTATTAATGTGAATCCTTAATAATTAATTATATTACAAGAAAATCAGTGATACTTTTGATATTTAATCTTTAATACTCAATTGTATTAAAAGAACACAAATACTTCTTTTGTTGTTTTATCGTGGGGAAGGAAATGGTTATTACCCAGAACTGATAAGATCCAATTAATCTGCAGAAGTGGTTTTGTCACATCAATCCCCATTTTACATTGAAATTTGTTTGCAATCATTAATTAAGTTAAATTTATTACAGATTTTTCAGTATTTACATGATTTTTTATGGTTTCAAGATAATAAAATTTGCATATTTCTGTATGCCAGATTACTAGGTTCAACCATAAGAAAATTTCTGTTTTTTAAGTTCAAAATGGTTACATATCTGAAGATTATGTAAGCCTATAATTTTTTTGTTGTAATCCATATATTGAAATACTACGGTTTATAGTCTGAAATCCATGATAAAGAAAATGCAGGTGTATTCCTCTTTCTAGCTCCTTACTGATGTACCATTAGTACAGTGTGTACTTAGCATTGGTTAAGATACTGCTTTTTTTTTTTTCTTCTCTGTCATATCCCTGGGCCTGAATGGTACCTGGCACATAGAAGTTCAGTAAATACTGAATCAATGAATGAATACGAATAGACGGTCTTACAGTACAAAATCTATATAGATTTCTACCCCCACTTTATCAGACCACTCTGATAAAATCAAGCAATTTCCCATCCAAAATTTGGAAATTTCTGAGAGACAGACACAGGTGCCAGGCAGATAGAGTTCAAAATAACTGTTTTATTACCTCAGTAGAGTCTGAATTGGAGGACATGCATTATATATGCAGATAAAACAGGCTTCACCTCTAAATTAGACATTATACCTACCTAGCCACTGGCAGA
The DNA here is from genome assembly GCF_000001405.40 of Homo sapiens. Lineage (NCBI taxonomy): Eukaryota > Metazoa > Chordata > Mammalia > Primates > Hominidae > Homo > Homo sapiens. Next base: position 114,216,003 of record NC_000007.14, read on the forward strand.
GCTGGGCATTCACAATCCTCTATCACAGAGGCAGGGACAAAAACAGGCCTGAATTCATCTTCTTTACAGAAAGAATTGAACTGAGAAAAAGGAATTGAGCTGTCCATGTTCAGTATATTTTCTTAAACTTCCCAGTCAGACGATTCTCTGCCCCTCTTATAGTAAGAAGTGAAGGGACAGAATGAAGCTAATGGCATTTCTTGATCAAAAGTCGCCTCATGAACATGTGCGGCGAAAGGAATAGAGCTTCCACACAAGACACTCTCATTAAACATAAATTCCTCCAATCAATTATACTATGAATTTTTCCTGAAGTTTTTCTGTTCGGCATTTATGAGATCCAATTCAAATTGCTATTATATATACCAATATTTGTAAGTCACTGCAGTCAATATTTTTCATGGTAGTTGACACTGAACTGATCTAATACAGTGGAAGCTTGTGCAGCGTAAGTTTAAGAGTTAAAAATAATAAGAAAAGCATTTTTAGATTTTGTATTATGTTTACATTTTATATATTTTTATATATTGTATATGTAATATATGCCTTCACTGCAATTTTGGTTTCTAGTAGAGAATTTTGAACACATTTGCTTTATGTTTTATAGGTGATATTATTTTATAAATCTCTTAGTTTAATCTCTTAAGTGTACGTCTCTGATTTCTGGTGTCTGAGTTTCTATGCTATTCTATTGTGTGGATTTCTGGTGTCTGAATTGCTATGCTGTTCAATTTTGTGGATCATTATTACGAGATAAAATACTGAGTCTTCCACATTCTCTGTTTCCACTTTCCATCTCAAACAAGATGAAACAAAAGAAAACTACATGAAGCAAATGGATTACTAATGTCTGGTTTTATCCAAATTTCTTAAGTAAATTATTCTGGCCAGAATGAAATCTAGGCATTAGCAGTTTAAAATATAATAACAATATTCTGATTTGATAATTTTAAAAATAATCCCCTTATTGACATTAAAGTCCTTCTAATCAATTGGCAACTACATTCATGATTATGGTTTGAGTGTTATTTATCACCAAATAGAACAGATAATGTTTTAAAATAACTATTTGAAGGATAGAATTGTAAGCTAGGTCATTATAGGAGATAATATCTTCCAGTCTATACCTTGGAATTAACAAAAAAGGAAGTAAAACGCATGGTTTGTAGAAATTGATATTATCAGTTTATTGTCATTAAAAAATGGGATTGGCAGGCCCTCTGTAGGGGGCCTTGAAGAATAGCATTTATTTCCTGTCATGGTCTGGGCTCTGGCCCTAAGCCTGTAAAATGGACCTGCTTCTTTGAGAATAGATTTGTGTTAACTTCTCGGTTTAAATTAGTGTTTAAGACTAAAAAGATTAATTTATTGATTTACTGTGAGCAATTATTTTACTAGGAACAAAATGGTTAGAAAACCTAAGATCCATGAGTTCTATTTGTGTGTGTAGAATCAGTTTATTAACTTAAAATGAGGAATTTGGTCATGAGACACTTTTTTTTTTCCTATAGGCAGAGAAACACTGGAAGCTAGATAACAATAATTATAATCACAAGGTTGTCTGGTAGTTGTGTAATCCAAATTAAAAGGAGGTTGATATGTCAGATATTTTATGGCATTGGGCCAAACAATCTGGTGTAACTGTACCATAGGTGTGGTCTTGCCACTGGAATCAGAGTAATGAAGTCTAATGGGTACCACAATTCCTGCTAATTAGAGGCAGATAACTCCAAATCTGCTATATAACATGCTCTATCCACAGATAGTGCTTAAGTGAGTATTCTCAGTTATTTCCATGACTTGTTTTATTCTGTGCTTTTCATGCATAGAAATGAAATCTATATGGGAAAGGTGATGGAGTAAACACAAATAAAAACTACTTTAATTTTAGCAAGTATCCCAATAGTGTTGTCTACTGAATGATTGATTCTTGGTCCCTCTCTGAGTAAGACCCCTTCTCAGCTTAGGCATGGATGGCCATGATAGTAGGTTTTATTACAGCTTTTATGATTTTAAGATCATACTTTGTACACATGTGATACCTTTACTACATTACAGTGAATAGTTATTGTATCTGTTTTCTCTATTAGACTGTGAGGACTCTGTCCCCCATACCTCAGAAAGTGCTAACACTCATAAACATTGGCTGAAATGATCTTAATCCTGAAAATGAATTAACTTGCCGATGTACTATTAGTCTACAATATGAAGTGTTAATTTTAGACCTTTGTTTTAAAAACCTTGCTGTAATTGTGTTACAGTACCCTCTACTCTCCAAATACAAAATGACATCTCTCTGCCCACACGTTCTCAAATTCATGGGTTAGATACATATATTGTTAGAGTAGTAGATGTGGCCCTCAGCTTTACCCCCAGAAAAATTATTCTTTGCACTACATCCCTGTTCACCAAGCAGCAGTAATTACAAGGCAGTTCTTAAATATAGGTCTGGCTTATGGCAGTAGCATGTGCAAAAAATGCCCCTGGGCCATATGAAAATAATAGTTTTACACAGTGGGAGAGACTCTTCAGAGCTATGTAGTACTTAAAGACAGAAAGCTCATCAAGAAAGCCACATTCTTTATTTCTAGACATAATAAGCAGAAATGAAATTGATATGAGAAAGAAGATAGAATAAAAACAAGTAAAAAATAATCTAAGTTAAGGAAAGTCCAATGAGTGTCAAGCACTGAATAGATTAACTATGAAAGAATAGTCTTCACTTGTCTGGCAGAATTGCAGTGTGGTTCTATTATGTGCTGTTTAAATTGCATATATTGGACACTGTCAATCATTAAGGATAGTTAGTATTATTTATCCCAAACAGCCACATTTCTATAGCAACAGTATACATGTTTATGCAATTACGTATTATTATATCAAATCATGCTTGATATATTTTGGTACCAGCTGCCGTCCTGAACTCCTTTACAAGTTTTATATATATTTACTGCCTAATGGAGGACCCTGCAGTCTCCTCCCCAAACCAGCTACTATTTTAGCCTGAGTTCAGGCAAGAAACATATGAAGTGAAAGACTAACTTAATATTCAGCATTGCAACTGAACCCAAACAACTGAAGTCTCAATTCATTTTAGTTTAAAAGCTACTAGTTTTCGAAAAAGATTAATTATACTAACTTTCATAAGTAGATTGTATACTAATCAAAATTATAATTTTATAAAATTTTTCAAATACAAAAGATTATATAAAATTTTAATTATATGTTGATTTAAACCATTTCAGTGATAAAAATTTATTATCCAATTGTAAGGAGATCATAAGGTCGATTTCAACAACAGTAAAGAAAGTGGAAACAGTTCTTTGTTGCTTAGCAGAGTTGGCTAGAAACTACAACTTTAAAAGAGTATGTTAATATATGATCTTTACCTTTTAGAACAGTATTAACATTTTAATATACTTAGAGTGGTCATGTCAAAATATTTTTTCTGCTTTTGAAGTTTTTCTTATCAATAGTAACAGCTATATTTGTTTTAAACATTGTTAGCACTTTAAACGACCTACTTTATTAGGCAAAACATTTTCCATTTTTACTTTGAGTTTTGAGTCACTTTATTTTGTGAATATAGTTTTAAAAATCTGTTTTATTTATTTGTTTTTATTAACAAGACTGATTGCATGTATAACATATCTACACTTATATTTTAGTGAATATGATCCCTTTTTTACTTCTCTAATTTGTTACCCCTCCATTCATTGTTATTTGATGAATAATTTTCGCCTTTAATCCATACATTTATTTAGTTCCATTGTCCAGCCACAGGATCATTACATTGTAACCATAGCTAGCACGAGGTTTCTGTTTTCATAATTCTGTGAGGGTTTTTTTTTTGTTTGTTTGTTTTGTTTTTTCTAATGGAGTTTCGCTGTTGTTGCCCAGACTGGCCAGGCTGGAGTGCAGTGGCGCGATCTCGGCTCACTACAACCTCCGCCTCCCGGGTTCAAGAGATTCTCCTGCCTCAGCCTCCTGAGTAGCTGGGACTACAGGCGCGCACCACCATGCTCAGCTAATTTTTTTTTTTTTTTTCAGTAGAGACGGGGTTTCACCATGTTGGCCAGGATGGACTTGATGTCCTGACCTTGTGATCCGCCTGCCTCAGCCTCCCAAAGTGCTGGGATTAGAGCCACCGTTCCTGGCCCTGTGAGGGTTTTTAAAAGGCTTTTTATAAAGCTTGATGGCTAGGCTTAGTTGTAGTTGTTTCTTTTTTTCTCCTAAAAATATTGCAATATAAAAAAAATAATGGGAACAAAATTCATAAACCTACCGAATTATACAATATAAGATATAGGGAAAAATATGTTAAGCCTACAACATTACATATACAATTACATAACAGTTTCTGTTACTATATTTACATGGATTCATGACTGGAATCATGCAATTACATTTTATATTCCATTTTTTCTCTTTACATTAGAAATACTGTTTTCATAATGATTACTTTCATTGAAAATGTACTATTCTGTTTTACTCATAATGAGAATTGACTTCAAATAAACATCATTTCAGGTAATATCATTTCAGGATTTCAAGTGGCTTTAGACAGGATTTTAAGTGACTTCCCTACTTCCCTTTGGTGACTGCCCTTAGTTAATCTAATGCATGTTATCTCTGCTTAGGAGAAGAGTGGAAGGGAAAAAACGGCATGTCAGACTTTCCTATTCAAGAATTTTTTAGTCAAAGAAACACCACCACTTTCATCACTATTACCATATAATAATAGAAATATGTTAAATACTCACTTTAATTGAGACAGTCCTAAGGTTAGTGTATTAATGTTCTTTACATGCCTATTTTTTTCTTGAAGTATTATTTGAAGAAGGCATCACTTCAAACTCTTTTAGACTAAAAGAAAACTCTCTCGAAGTCTTTCTAAATTCTAAATAAAATTGGTGTCATTTAAGAGGTATTGTTTGATTATCTTTGTTCTTATAGTTGTGGGAGAAGTAGTAGCATAATAGTATGACAGATTTATGATAAATTTATGGTAAGTAAATTTGCAGTGTCTGGTGATTTTTATACACCTTATAATATATTTTACAAACAGTATTTTAAATATCTGTCACCAATCTTTGGTTATTGAAGTTAAAGTTTGTGATTTTTAAATTACTAAATTTCAGGTTTCTATGATTTTAATTTTACTGACTTGTTCTTCAGTCACTATTTTCATAATTTTGACACTAAGCCTTTGAGTCAGAATTTAATTCTGAATTATAATATTCTTCATATGGGTAAAAACAGTTTACTTTGTGGTTTTTTTATTTTATGACACAATTTTATTTATGACACAATTTCTAGGAAGTCAATGGGCAGAGGGCTGGGTACTGCCAAGACATATTTTGTACTTAAAAATGTCCTAAAAATTCATGGCCTAGAAACAAATAAGTAACTCCAATATTTTTTTAAGAAATCTCTGGGTTTGCTATACTTAGATCCAAAAGAGCCAAGGGAAAGAAGGATATAAGGATTCGTTCTAGGCACAACTGGTAAGTAGCACTTTTTCCATGTGTATCTTCCTATTTTCTGTTTATCCATTACCCCCCTCCCCCAGCCATTGGGTGACATTCTCTTTGATGTCCTCCATACTGCACTTAGGGTCCCCCATGTCTCCCTAGGGCTGTATACTGTACTAAAGCATCCTATTTCAGAAGTGGAATTTTCTGTGCTTTTTGCTATATCACTTCTTCCTTTTATCTAATTAAAGCATAATTTGTGTGCATGATAATGAAGACTTTTAAACTGAATGACTTGAAATATCTGATAAGTTAATGAGGCTCTAAGACTTCTAGCCTTAAGCTCTATTGATAGAACTCTAGCCACAAACTTAGATAAATAGCTGTTTTCAAGGCTTGTTGAGTTCATTCTTCATGCTCTTCTCCTAAGCCCTCCCCCAATTCTATTCCATCAAGCCACTGACTGCTTGTTTATCTCAAGGATGTAATATTGACTTCTGAGCCAGGTAGGAAGGTTTATGGAAGAAGGAGATACACCTGCTTACCCATGTGTACCAGACTACTCCCTACTCCAGGACAGGAATGGGCCATGTCAGGTGAGCCTCCCAAGAGAAATGATCTTCAAGCACAGTATAGTTGTTTGATAGTAATCCTGAATGTTGTTTCTGATACTTTATGTTCCTTTTTATTTCTTTGTTCAGACAGGATTTCCTGTGTCACCAAGGCTGGAGTGCAGTGGTGCAATCTTGGCTCACTGCAGCCTCTGTCTCCTGGGCTCATGCAATCCTCCCATCTCAGTCTCTTGAGTAGCTGGGACTACAGGCATGTGCCTGCATGGCTGGCTAATTTTTTAATTTTTTGTAGAGTTTCACCATGTAGCCCGGGCTGTTCTTGAACTCCTGGGCTCAAGTGATCCGCCCACCTCAGCCTCCCAAAATGCTGGGATTACAGGCATCAGCCACTGTGCCCTGCCTATGTTCATTTTCTTATCCATTCATTCTTTCACTAGTTTATTAACATGTATTTGTATATGTATTTATTGGGCATTTACTACGTGCCTGGCCTTATGTGTTACACTAGGGATATAAAAATCTCTTCACTTTCTGTGGTTTGCTGATAGTCTAATGAAGTCGCTACATTATAAGGTTGTAGTAGAAGAAATATAAGCAAAAACATTTGTTAATAGTAAGATCTATTTCATGATAAAGGAGTTTCCATGTGTTGCTTCATGAGCGTATTTTAAGGTAATCTCAAGGATGGGGTAGCTTTTAAAGAAGGGACAGTTGTGTTGAATTTTGAAGGACAAGGAGGAATTAATTACAAGATGCAAAGGAAAAACATCTCAGGTGAGAATGCAAGCATGAGATAATGTAATCTTTTTGGCCACTCATAAATAAAGAGGGCTAAGTAAATGGACAGAATCCATACTCAACTAAAGAAATTTAACTTTGCCAATACAATGCATTCATTCAGGTTTACTATTTATTATTACATTGTATAATTATCCCACAATTTACTTATCTATTTTATTGTTGATAGACTTTTGTTTGTTTGTTGTTGCAGTTGCCAACAATAGCAGAACATTTTATATGTTTCATATATATTTGTTGGTACACATATACAAGATTTTCCCTGGGGCCTTTCCTTAGGAATGAAACAGCAGTCACAGGGTACACATGTTTAGATTTAGAAAACAATGCCAAATTATTTTCAAAAATGGATGCATCAGTTTACACTTCTACCAACACATGTAAGTGTTCCAGTTGCTGCACATGCTCATAAACATTTGTCATACTGCTCCTTTTGTTTCCCTCAGTCTAATGGGTAAAAAGATATCTCACAATGGTCTTAAGTTGCATTTCCCAGATTACTAATCAGGTTGATCAGCTTTTTATTTGTTTGTTTATTTACTTGTTGGATATTCATGTTTTTTTTGTCGCTTTCCCATTTTACTTTGGTGTTATAAATCTGTTGCATATTGATTTGAAGGAATTCTTTATATATTATATACATTATATATATATTATATATAATATATATATAATATGTATATATATATGTGCTTTGTTGGATAGGTAGATAGCCAACATATTATACCAGTTTATGGGTGTATATAGTGAATACATTCTCACGGTTTATGGTGTATTTTTTCTACCTTCTTTTTTTTCTTTTCTTTTTGTTGAGAGTAAGATCTTGCTATTTTGCCTAGGCTAGTCTCAAAACTTCTGGGCTCAAGTTATCATCATGCCTCTGCCACCGTATATGTTGAGATTACAGGTGTAAGCCACTGAACCTAGCTCTTTTTTACTTTCTTTAGGTGAATTTTGATGAAGTGAAAATTTAATTTTAATTTAGTTTATCAATTTTAATTTAATTTATCAAAAAAATTTTTTTATGGTTAGAATTTTTTTGTTTTCTACTTAGGAAAATATTTTTTATCCCACAATCACAAAGTTATTTTCCTTTATGTTCTTATAAAGGCTTCAACTTCTGACTTCTTCATCTAAGTCTTCATTACATTGAGAATATATTTTTGTGGATAGTGTAATCAGAACCAATTTTATTTTATTTTATATATCTAACCAATGATTTGGGCACCGTTTTGAATAGTCTGTTCCTTCCCTGTTATACATTATTTCCATTTATATCTGGCCTTGTTTCTGGACTTAATTTTCTTCTATTGGTAAATTAGTCCACCTTTGAACCTCGCTATCTTAATTACTGAAGATTTCATAAGACTTTATTTTCTTTTTAGAATTGTCTTGGCTATTCCAAGGCTGTTGCTTTTTTATATGAATTTTACAATTAGCTTGTCAGTTTGGATGAAAGCTTTTGGGATTTTCATAGAAATAGCATTGACTCCATAAATCAGTATGGGGAGAATCCTGAGTGATATTGAGTCTTCCTATTAATGAACACTTTATTCCTCTCCGTTATTAATACTTTCAATAATATTTATCATTTTCTATATAATGACTGTGTACAAATTTCTAGAGATTTATTCTCATATGCCTTGGGTTTCTTAGCTATTATGCAAAAATAAATTACCTCCATCAACATTTATATTATGTGCAAATCATCACAGTTATATTGCTTTTTATTCCAAGTCTTCTACCCATTTTTATTCCTTGTTTCTCAGCTGACAGATTTCTTCACTGTTGAAAGAAAGAAAGCAAAGCAATCATAGTGGATAGTGGATACTCTTGTTTCATTCCTGCCTTTTTTTTTAAGAGGCTCTTCATATGTTGCCTGAGTTGGCCTGGAACTGCAGGACTCAAGAGAACCTCTGGCCTCAACCTCCGTAGTAGGTGGGATTATAAGTGTGCACATAGCATGCCTGGCTATTCCTGATTTTAAAGGGAGTATTACCAATGTTTTTGGAAGATGAATGAGCTATAAGATAAGAGAAGCTCTATTACTAGTTTTTAAAGAGATTTAAAGAAGTGAATAGATGTTGACCCCTATCAAATACTTTTTGCAGTTGACAAGAGTCCTGCCCATCCCCCTTACTTTGCTATTAAATCTAAATTACAGCTTGCTGTTGTTAAAACTCTCCTGCATTTTGTGATTAAAGCCTACTTGATTATAATATATAATCTATTATTTTTATATTTTGCTGGCTTCAGTTTGTTAATTTTTTTAGGATTTTGGTCTATAATTTTCCTTTTTTTATACTGCACTTGTCTGCTTTGAGTATTAAGGGGTGGGGTATGTTGCTTCTTACTTTAACAATTTTATAGCATAGTGTGTGTGATTGGAAAGGTGAGTTCCTTCAAAGTTTGCTAGCATTTACTTCTTGCTGTAAATTTATCTGGGTCTTGTATGGCCTTCCCCCCCTCCCCCTTTCTTTCCTTTTTTGAGTTAGGGAATATTATTAACTATTGGTTCATCTTACTTTGGCTCTCAACTTTTTCTTGAGTAAGCACATATTTTTCTAGTAATTTCACTGTTGTTTATTTTTTGCTTTTCAATTTTTTTTCTTTTTAGAGGCAGGGTCTTTCTCCATTGCCCAGGGTGGAGTGCAGTAGCATGATCATGGATCACTGCAACCACAGACTCCTGCTCTCAAGTAATTCTCCTGCCTCAGTCTCCCAAGCAACTGGGACTACGGGTGCATGCCACCATGCCAGGCTAATTTTTAATTTTTTTTTGTTGTTGTGTAGATGGGATTTTGCTGTATTGCTCAGGCTGGTCTCAAACTCCTGGCCTCCAGGGGTCTTCCTGTCTTGGCCGCCCAAAGTGCTGGGATTTCAGGTGTGAGACACTGTACCCAGTCTTTTCTAGCAATTTTTAACTTTCTTCTAAGTTTTAAAATACTTTATCACAATACTTATATTATTCTTTTTTCCCACTAAGTTGTTCTTCCACCCTACCTTGTAGTAAACCTTTCATATGTAACAGGTTGTCTACCAAAAAACTTTACAAAACATATTCCATTATTTTTCCCACCCCACTTGTAGAAAGAGACTCTGAAAGGATAATTGGCCCAAAGTCACACAGTTGGTGGTAGAGCTGAACTGCACTTGTTAACTTTAGGAATCACACAGGTGGTTGTCATAGAACACAATATCCATTTCCTAATCCCTGAGTTGAAGGAAGTGAGCTATGATATTATTTGTCTAAAAGAGGTTAAAAAGCTCAACTCATAAAATGTTTTACCTTCCATTTGTGACACTGAAGCACACCTTAAAGCCCCCCAATTTACCATTTTATGTTATTGAACCAATCTTAATAAATTCTATTTTGAATTTCAAGAAAATGTTATGAAACATTCTTGTGTAGCTTTTCCTTTGGTACCCCAAATAAAACCTCAGATCATTTGTTTGACTCACAGGAACATACTGTGGTAATTCTGGATGCTTTTGTGCAGTGACTTGATGTGTTTCCTCCCTCAAGTATTGTCATCGGTTGTTCTCAGCCACTCCCTTGAAGATGGAACAATTCATGTGAAACTTGAAACTCTTCACCACTTTTTATATGTCCACTAACATTTGGCACCCTTCTATACAATGGCTAGGCTGTTTTACCTTTCTCTAAATATTTATTTGGTCTCCTCTTCATTTTAACATGCTATAGCAAGAAGAGTTTGCTCTTAGAATTTTCTTTGTTTAGCAGACTAGAAAACTAGCATTTCCAGCTTACCAGGATATTTAATTTGGAAGTATTCATGGTTGCCATTTAAGCTCTCAGGTTTTGAAAGTTTCCCATTTTATTATCTCTTTTCCATTTTTTTTGGTCTGATAAGGTAGTGCAAATATCATTATTATGTCTTTCTTATTTATCTTAATCATTCTCTTTGTTATTTTGATAATTTCTTGCTTTTATGCTGAGAACAGCATCACTGGTATATATTTCTCTTATCGTCTTTTTCAATATTGATTTTTGCTTGACTCAACCAAGATAGAAATTCTTACTTATTTTTGTATTAAGCTGCAGTAATACAGACTTCATTGAAATCCATTTTACTTACAGCTGCTTGATTATTTTGAAATTACATACTCTAGTATGTTGAACCACTGATATCATTGCTGGAGGGAAAAGTCAATCTTTTTCTCCCCTTGAAACTTTAATTTACTAAACTAGTGTTCAGGTTTCATGACAGTCAAACAAATTTTAATAAATCAGGTTGGAATAATTACTTGTTAATTGTAATCTTTCATGAAAATGGGGAATATTTCCTGGAATGTTACTGTATTTATGGATTTGATAGCCAGGCTACAGTGTCCCTATTATTTGGTTATGGTGGAATCATTGTGAGCATGGAAGGAATTCAAAGAGTTTGTGGCCTGACTTTAGGGTTGTAGTTCAGTTTCCTTCTAGCTGAGATTTTATATATCAAATCAGTCTTTATTTATTTAGTGTTTCTATGGAAAAAGAAAGTTTTATGCTTGGAGCAAAGACTCCAAACACCCAAGCAGCATTCTGATTTGTCTCTCTTCTAGTCCCTAATGCATTTACTTTCCTGAAACTTTGTGCTTTCTTTTTCTTTAATAAACACTTAAAAATATATTGCTTGCAGTTGTAATTCAGCACAAGGACCTGGGAGTTCTAAGTCTTTCTTGAATACCTGTCTTTCTAGAATACCTGTCTTTCTAGACTTCTGCATTTTACTTGTATTGTCAAACTTACTTTTTTTAAAGTTAGAGGAATATTTGTTTATTTGTATTGTATTTATTTTTTCTCTTTATAATAACTTATTTTCTACCCTATTTCAAAAAAGATTTGAGGTAGTATACACCTTATTTCTGCTCAACAGAAATTGCTAAGTGAAGAAATGAAACAGAGGGCAAATACCAGTGGAAAATTTTAAACTAGACATGAAGCAGCGTTAATACGTACATGGGCAGCAGGAAGTCTAGTATACTTTCTAGAGATGGTCCACAAAATGGCTCTTCCTAACCACAGATGCCAAAAAGGGATATGGTAATTTACATGATCCTCACGCTATATGTAATATCACAGCAAACCAATGGTCCTGTGGATACTGAAGATGTGATGAATTAAACACTTTAGATAATACCACTACTTTGAAAGCAAAAGTATGTTTCATTGGGCTTTTTCTTATAATGCTTCTTAGTTTATTATGATGGCATATCAAAAAAAGGCTTGTATGAACAAATTCAGTTATTTGAAAGATCAAACCATGTGGTACAATACTATGTGGTCATCTGATCAAATTAGAGGGTAAACTTCAGATTATTCAAGTGCGTACTTTCCAAAATGGACTAGACAAGAGTGTTCTTGAAAAGATATGAGTGTTGCTGGAAAGACCTACTAGGAATTTTTTGTGTTTTTACTTTGTTTCAACTCTAGTAGTAAAGAACAGAAAAAGCTTTAACAGTATTACTCCGTGGATTGAGACTGGTGCCCTCAATTGGTGCCTTTATTAGCTTTTCATGTATCTTTTAGTTTCAAGAGCTGAAAGAAGACAGGGAATCCCATAAGGCACAGGGTTTAATAGTGGTGCCTTTACTTTTTAGTTCATTACACTTAGAAAATAGCTGGTGAAGTGGATTTTTAGGAATGTTTGATTTCATTTTACTGAAACCAGTCCTCACAAAATAAGTGGCTTAAAGAAATTGCAGCATGAAGATTATAGTAGTACAGATGAACAAGAAGAAAAGAGCTACTACCACTTCTACTTTATTCAAACAAGTAAAGCAAAAGTATAGTTTTGCTATACAATTGAACTTAAGTTGTTATCAGCTTAAGAGATTGTTATAAGATGTTGCATGTAAACTCCATGGTAACCATGATGAAAATACCTATAGAAGGTATACAAAATAAAATGAGAAAGGAAACAAAGTATAGAACTACAAAAAAATCAATGAAACACAAAGAGAGCAAGACAGGGAAAAAGGGACAAAAGAGCTACAAAACAGAAAGAAACAACTAACAAAATGATAATAGTAAGTTCTCCCTTTCAATACTTATTTTAAATTTAAATTAATTAAACTGTTCAAGAAAAATACATAGAATAGCCAGATGGATAAAAACAATAGCCAACTATAAATTATCTACAAGAGACTCACTTTAGACGTAAGGACACACACAGACTTTAAGTGAAAGGGTAGGAAATGATATTTCACATAAATCATGACAAAAAGAGACAGCAAAGGTAGATATACTTATATCAACCAGATAGACTTTAAGTCAAGCTGTCATAGAAAAAAAGAGAAACTTTATATAATGATAAAAGAGTAAATTCATCATGAAGATATAACTATTATAAATATATATTTGTATAAATATATATATTTAATATCCAATGTTAGAGCACCTAAATATATGATGCAAACATTGCCAGAACTGAAAAGAGAAATAGACAGTAATACAGTAGTAGGAAATTTCAGTACTCACTTTCAATAGTGGATAGAACATTCAACATAAGATCAATAAGGAAAAAGAGGACTTGAACCGCACTGTATGGGCCTAAAGACAAACATTCCATCCAAGAGCAGAATAGTATACATTCTTCTCAAGCACACATGGAACATTCTTCAGATAGATCATGTGTTAGGTCATAAAACAAGTTTGCAAATGTAAGAAGATTGAAATAATACCAAATATCTTTTCTGACCATTTCATTATGAAACTAGAAATCAATAAAAAAAGGAAAATTGGAAAATTCACTAATATATGGAAATTAAGCAACATATTCTTGAACAACCATTGCATCACAGAAAATGGAAAGAAATGAGAAAAATCTCTTGAGATTAAAAAAAACAAAAACACAACATGCCAAGACTTATGGAATGTCACAAAAGCAATACCAAGAGAGAAGTTTATAGCAATTAACACCTACATTGAAGAAAAAAGAAAAATCCCAAATAATGAACTTGACTCTACACCGTAAGAAACCAGAAGAAGAAGAAAAAATAAGCCAATGCTAGAAGAAGGAAGGAAATCATGAAGGTTACAGCAGAAATAAATAGAGACCCTAGAAAAGCAATTTAAAAAAATCAACAAAACTAATAGTTGATTTTTAAAAAGATTAACCAAATAGACAGACTTTTAGACAGACTGAGAAAATGAGAGAAGATTCAAATCAGAAATGAAAAAGGAGAGATTACAACTGATGGCACAGAAATAAGAATGATCATAAGAGACTACTGTGAACAATTATACACCATCATACTGGATGACCTAGAAGAAATAAATAAATTTCTGGAACCATACAGTGTACCAGGACCAAATCATGAACAAATTAAAAAATCAAAACAGAGTTATAACTAGTAAGGAGATTGAATCAGTAATCAAAAACTTCTTAACAAAGAAAAGTCCAGACGGTTTCACTGGTGAATTCTACCAAATATATATTTTTTAAGATTAACACTGATTTTTTTCATACACTTCTAAAAACTGAAAAGGAAGGAACACTTCCAAACTTATTTTATGAGGTCAGCATTACCCAGATACCAAAGCCAGATAAAGACACTACACAAATGAAAACTGTGGGCCAGTATCCCTGATGAATATGGATTCAAAAATGCTCAACAAAATACTAGCAAACTGAATTCAACAGCACATTAAAAGAATCATGTACCATGACTAAGTGATCTTATCCCTGGAATACAAGTAAGGTTTAACATATGCAAATCAATAAATGTGATATAACACATTAACAGATTGAAAGATAAAAATCACATGATCATTAGAATAGATGCAGAAAAACCATTTCACAAAATTTAACACCCTTTTACAATAAGAACATTCAGTGTGCAAGGAATAGAGGGAAATTACCTCAACATAAGAAAGGATTTACATGACTAACCTATGGCTAATATCATACTCCATATTGAAAAGCTAAAAGCTTTTCCTCAACATCAGGAACAAGACAAGAACATTCTTACCACTTTTATTCAACACAGTACTCATAGTCCTAGCCAGAGCAATGATGTAAAAAAAGAAATAAAAGGCATACATAATGGAAAGAAAGAAGTAAAATTATCTCTGCTAGCAGGTAACATGATCTCATATATAGAAAACCCTAAAGATTACACACACACACACACACACACACACACACAAATCCCCATTAGAAGCAATAAATGAATTCAGCAAATTTGCAGGATACGATATCAACATACAAAAATTCATTTATTTCTATACATTAACAGTGAGCAATCTGAAAATGAAATTATGAAAACAATATCATTTAAAATAGAGTCTAAAAGTATAAAATACTCATCAATAAACTTAACCAAAAGACTTGCACACTAAAAACTACAAAATATTACTGAAAGAATTGAAGAGACAAATAAATAAAATGTCTCATTTTTATGGATTAGAAGAATAAATGTTAAAATATCAACACCACCCAAAGCAATCTACAGATTTATTGCAATTCCTATTAAAATCCCAATGCATTTGTTACAGATATAGAACAAGCAATTCTGAAATTCATATTGAATGACAAAGGACTTTAAATAACCAAAACAATTTAGAAACAGAAGAATATGGCTGGAGACCTCACACATCGATTTCAAAACGTGTTGTGAATACAAAGCTACAGTAATCAAAACAGTATGGTACTGGCGTGAAGACATACCAATAGAACAAAATAGAAACCCCAGAAATAAAATAATGTATGATCTATTTGTCAAATGATCTTCCACAGTGATGCCAAAACTATGCAATGGTGCAAGGACAGTTTGTGTGATGAATGGTGCTTGGAAAATTGGATATCCACATGCCGAATAATGAAATTGGATTCTTATACCATACATAAACATCAATTCACAATAGGTTAAAGACTTAATGGTAAGGCCTGAAAGTGTAAAACTCCTATAAGAAAACATAGAGGAATAGCTTCATGACCTTGTTCTTGGCAATTATTTTTTGGATATGACACCAAAAACACTGGCAACAAAAGCACACATAGACAAGTGAGACTGCATTAAACTAAAAAGTTTCAGTGCAGCAAAAGAAACAAGAGTGCAAAGGCAGCCTACAGAGTGGTAGAAAGTATCTGTAAACCATTTATATGATAAGGAATTAATATCTTAAAAAAAGGAACTCCTACATCTCAGTGGCAAAAAAACAAATAACTGATTGAAAAATGGGCAAAGGACTTGAATCTACATTTCTCCAAAGAGGACACACAAATGGCCAAAAGGAATATGAAAAGATTCTCAATATCACTAATCATCAGGGAAATGCAAGTAAAACTCACAAAGAAATACCACCTCACACCTGTTAGGATGGCCATTATAAAAAACAAAACAAAACAGAAGATAAGTGTTGGTAAGGAAATGGAGAAATTGGAACACTTAGGCACTGTTGGTGGGAATGTAAAATGATACAGCCACTACGGTAAACAGTAAGGAGATTCTTCCAAAAATTAAAAATAGAACTACCTTGTGATCCATCAATCCTACTTCTAGTTATTTATACAAAGTATTTAAATCAAGGTCTGGAAGAGATATTAGCACTCACATGTTCATTGTAACATTATTCACAATAATCAGGAGATGGAAACACCCTAAATGCCCATTAATGGATGAATGGATAACGAAATTATGGTATTTACATACAATAAAATATTGTTTAGCAGGCCCGGCAGGGTGGCTCATGCCTGTAATCCCAGCACTTTGGGAGGCTTAGGCGGGCGGATCACCTGAGGTCAGGAGTTCGAGACCAGCCTGACCAACATGGAGAAACCCCATCTCTACTAAAAATACAAAATTATCCAGGCATGGTGGCATATGCCTGTAATTCCAGCTACTCCAGAGGCTGAGGCAGGAGAATCACTTGAACCCGGGAGGCGGAAGTTGTGGTGAGCCGAGATCATGCCATTGCGCTCTAGCCTGGGCAAGAAGAGCGAAACTCCGTCTCAAAAAAAAAAAAAAATTGTTCAGCCATAAAAGGACATCCTATTATATGCTATAACGTGAATGAAATTTGAGATCATTATGCTAAATGAAATAAATAAATCGGAGAAGGACAAATACTGCTTGATTCCTCTTATATGAGGTATCTAAAGTAGTCAAACTCATAAAGCAGAAAATAGCATGGTGGGTGCAGGAGCTATGAGGAGGAGAAATGGGGAGCTTCCGTTCAATGGATAGCCTTTCAGTCATGCAGTATGAATACATACTAGAGATCTGCTGTGAAAAATTGTGTTTGTTGTTAACAATACTCTTCACTTAAAAATTTGTTAAAAGGGTAGATCTCATGTTATGTGTTTTTTACCACAATAAAATAAGAGAGAAATGCCTGGTAATTTCTCCATATAGATAGTATTAACAACAATATTTTTACATGTACAAAAGGAGTGTTTAGGATTCCTATAGTGAAATTAAATAAAAATAGTATTTCATCATTTCATCTTTATCCTCTGCATTTTTACTCTTGTGTATGTCTTATACAAAACAGAGTATATAAAATATTTAAGTATAGTAGCACTTGTATATAAAATATGAATGAATCTTTTTAGGAATGCATGCTCAAAAGTAGTTATTGATTAGTGGATGTGATTAAAACAAAAGTTTGACATCATTGATCAAGAACAGTGGCATTCAACTTGTGCTTCCATGAGGCCCTTCAAGGGCTATGGGAATGGAGTGGATTAGCTGGGGCTCTGGGCTTCCTAAGGCTCACTCCATCCTGAGAAGTTTCACTTTAATGTTATACATACAGTGCTTCTAAAATAAACAATTAAACAATTGCTTCCACAATTGACACAAAATTAAAATTGATGCTTTTGGGAGATCAGGCAAACTGTAGTAATATGATGAATAAAATACAGCAGTGGCTGGGCATGGTGGCTCACGCCTGTAATCCCAACACTTTGGGTGGCTGAGGCAGGCAGATCACTTGATGCCAGGAGTTTGAGACCAGCCTGATCAACATGGCAAAACACCATCTCTACTAAAAGTACAAAAATTAACCGTGAATGGTGGTGCACACCTGTAATCCTAGCTACTTGGAAGACTGAGGCTCAGGAATAGCTTGAACCTGGAAGGCAGAGTTGCAGTGAGTCCACATTGCGCCACTGCACTTCAGCCTGGGCAACAGAGAGGGACTGTCTCAAAACAACAAAAACAAAAAAACTACAGAAGAATATTGCCAATTATTATCACTGGGTATTGAGATTACGTGTGTTTTTCTTCCCTCTCTTGCCCACTGTCTCACTCTCTTTTCTATCTGTATTATACCCTGGAAATACCTCATTTATATGATGGGAAAATTATTTTTAAGTGAGGTTGATACATTTTTATAATGAAATAATTGAGGAACCTGACCAAATGCTTATCTGGGTAAAAGGCTCCTCCTCTGTAGAGAGGTAGTCCCAGAGAGAAGCATCTACCAGCAGGGTTAAGATTTTCTTTAGGAGACAGTGTTAGGTTTATCTCAATGCAGGTTAAAATGAGTGATCAAGAATGTGACTTTCTTGGACATTAAGCATTATTGTGGTATTTTTAACTAGGAAAAAATAATTTAAATAGCATTACTAAACATCCAATGCAGTCGTAAAAATATTCTGAATGAGGTACAGGTTGTTTAACGTTAGCAATATAGCTTCTGTAAACTGCAAATCAATAGCAGATTTTAACCCTAGGTTACGACATGAATTACTTGGAATTTAAAACAAACAAACAAACAAAAAACCTTCGGAAATGATTTTGTTTTAATTTCTTACATGAAAGATGAAACAGCCAAGGCTCTGAGTTGTTAATGAGCTTTCTACAGTCCCATAGCTAGTTAGTAGCAGAGCCAGGATTTCAACTCTGCCCTTTATTCGTTCTACTCTAATCTGGCTCACTGGCTCGTCTTTTGGCATTCTTGCCCTGCATTTTCCATGGTCATATTGATCTTTTTTCAGCTCCTTGACCTCTTTTCTCTTGTCGTAGATCATATGTCTCTACCTAGAGCAGTCTCTTCCATACTTTTCTTCTTGCTACCCTCTTTGTTAGCTCACTCCTAGTCATCTCCAGTTAAAGGCCACTTTCTCTGGGAAGCTATCCATAATCTTGAGGTTAGGTTTAGCCCCACTAGTCCCTTTTATTTTAGACTGATCACAGTTATAATTACTTGTTCAATAGTTGACTACCTCAGAATACTGTATATAACCTTCAATGACGGGTGAGAAAGTATCCAATTGTATTCATTGCTATGTCTCATGGTCTCATATAGTTTTCAATAGTCATCACTCCAATGTTTTTTTTTAATGAGTGAATACTTGTTGATGAATAAATGCTCCCTTTCTTTTTATAACTACCTTATCAATGTTTTTATACTGTTCTTAGTTTACACATTATTCTTATGTCTATGTTCATTGTTAAAACAATTATTTTATATCTGTGCATATAGTTGTGCTCAGTAAAATTTATTGTTACAGATTATATAATCTTCCTCTGGCAACAGGAGGTAATTTGTATTTTAACTTTTTTTTTTCTTGCAGCACCTATGTTTTTTATCACTTAAAAAAAAGGAAAAACACTTGTGAAATACCCCTTGAGCAACTTTGAAATTCAACTGGACAAAGTATTTTAGAGTGGCTGTTAGAATACTAAAAAAATTTTACTAGAATTGGTGTTATGTGACTTCAGAGGTTTTCTGATGTCACAAAATGTAGTATATTGTCTTAGTACACTGAATTTCTATTTTATACAACATCTTTATTTGCTTTGAAGATAATTTCCTTCCTTAGGTCATAGAATTGTCATCTCTGCTCCTTACTGTTCTCAATCATGAACACCAATAGTTGAGAATAGCGTTGGCAAGTTTGGTTAAGCCTCCAATTTTGCACTGATCATAGGGCCTTTTACATCATTTTGGCTGGTGGGACTCTTACCTCATTATCAGGATGATCAGTGGTCAGAATAAAGGGGCCAAACAGCCCACCTATTAGTTGTTCATTCTCCAGTCTTATCACTATACGGAGAAATTAAACTTATACAACTCATTCTCTCTGTAAAGCATTCTTTGATTTCCAACTGGAAATAATTTCTCTCTAAGTGCTTGTATAGGAGTTTATCTTACCTTTCTTAATGGGGCTTCTTATTTTTGACAGTTACTTCCCTATTAGATTCGAAGCTCCTTGGGAGAAACATCTATCCCTGATTGCTTTGAGTTATTTATGGTTCCCTGCACATAGAAACTGCTGAATAAATATTTGTTGAATGAGTGAATGGAATTCCTTTTATTTAAAAAATGCTAAATGCCAGTGAGAGGATAAGAAATATGAATATGGAAAAGCTTTCAATGGATTGGCAATTGATATGTCTTTGATGTTAAATAAATGATAGATTAGACTTGCACAATGTTTGTCAATTTAAGAATATATAATGAAGTTTCTGTAGGATGGAAAAAATCTGTAGTAATTTATTATTTTCAGGCTGTTTGTATTATATTTGGAAATTTTTATATTCATTTATAATAGTGGATGGAGGATTATCTTAATTCTAAACATATAAAGCAGAAAGGTTATATTTCAGAAACACATGTAGTCTAATCTATGCTGGTATCTATTTAGTGTCTGCCTAATATCATGTGATGCTTTTCTTCTACTTCGAATTGTAAATGTATAGCTATAGATTTGGACACATAAACTGCCAAGTCCTTCCACAGGTATTTATTATTCTGTAGCTGAAGAATAAACTGCAGAAAAGAATAGTTATTCACAATTATATATCCTTATTATAGAAAATAGAACTTTACATACACATGTACATGTACTTTACATACACATTTACATGTGCTTTACATACACATTTACATGCACAGTGGTCACTCCTGTGATCCCAGCACTTCGAGGGGCTGAGGTGGGTGGATCACTTGAGGCCAGGAGTTCAAGACCAGCTTTGCCAACATAGCAAAACCCCTTCTCTACTAAAAATACAGAAACTAGCTGGGCGTGGTGGTGGACACCTGTAATCCCAGCTACTCGGGAGGGTGAGGCAGGAGAATTGCTTGAACCCAGGAGGTGAAGGCTGCAGTGAGCCGAGATCATGCAACTGACTCCATCCTAGGTGATAGAAAGACCCTGTCTCAAAAAGAAAATGATAAATAAAAATACTAAAGTCAAAGTAAGTGTCCAACATTTTTCTCTTGTATTTGTGTGTATATGTGTATGTCTGTGTGGGGGGCTGACATGTACTGCTTATTTGTGTGATAGGCTGTGTTTCTACAAGAAAGTTTGTTTAATAGACAATAAGGATACAAATATATATTTATACATAAATAAATGAATATTTATGCCCTGAAACATTTGTACGAGTATGAGTGATGTTTCCAGAAACTGACTATTATCTTCTACCAAGTTCAGATAAAGTGTTGAAGGTACAATATGAATAATGAAGTAAAATATTCAAAATATTTGAAGTCAGAGGCTTGTTTAATATTACTCATTTCAAAAAAGTATTGAGTTACACAGATAACTTACCTAACCTCTCTAATTCTCAGTTTCTTCAGGCATAAAATGGGAATAGCACATTTGGGACAATCGAAATTGAATACTGAATTGCCATGCAAGTAATTGCCATGCATTGTAATATACAATGGCTAAATTTTCTTTATTAAGCCTTATATTTTAATTATGGGAAACATAGATTAGAAATCTGTTTTAGGGCTCTTGAACCACGTGCTCAGGCCTGCTCCCACACTGTGGAGTGTACTTCCATTTTCAGTAAATCTCTGCTTTTGTTGCTTCATTCTTTCCTTGCTTTTTTTTTTGTTTGTTTTTTAAAAAAATTATTGTATTCTATTTTAGGCAGGGCTCAGAGCCTCACACCTCTAATCTCAGCACTTTGGGAGACTGAGGCAAGCGGATTACTTGAGGCCAAGAGTTTGAGACCAGCCTGGGCAACATGGTGAAACACCCTGTCTACTAAAAATACAAAAAATTACCCAGGTGTGGTGGTGGGTGCCTGTGGTGCAAGCTGCCCCAGAGACTGAGGCACAAGAATTGCTTGAACCCAGGAGGCAGAGGTTATAGTGAACAAAGATGCTGTCACTGCACTTCAGCCTGGGCAGCGGCAGAGCGAGACTGCATCTCAAACAAACAAACAAACTAACAAACACACACACAAACAAAAAATCAATTTTTATCTCTGGAAACAAAGTTGCTAACAATCCACAAACTTTTGACATATGTATTTTTTGTTAACCAATTATCACTGTTTTGTGCATTATATTTGTAGATGTGGTAAAGAGAGAAGTGGTAGTTAAACTATGAAATGCAGATGTGCTGTTTGTGAATAGAGACAGAAACAATCTCAACTCACTGGTGTATTCTATTCCCAAGACAGAACTTGACCTATATCTACCATCTGCTAAGATTTTAACACTTTTTTTTTTTCTTCCTAATCTGAAATATTTTTTCCTTAGGAAATTGTGATTAGTTTTAAAACTCTACACAAACATGAATTGTTATTTCACTGCATATAAAGTTTTGAGAAATTCATCATAGATACAGCTTGGTTGTATTAGAAGAAAGAAAATATCTTTGGCTGTAATTAGGATGAAAAATAGAAATAAGATGAGTACTTCTATATTTTAAGAGTTAAATGCCTTGGCGAAGTGGCTCACGCCTGCAGTCCCAAAGATTTGGGAGGCTGAGATGGGCAGATCATCTGAGATTGGGAATTCGAGACCAGCCTCGTCAACATGGCGAAACCCATCTCTACTAAAAATACAAAAGTTAGCTGGGCATGGTGGTTCGTGCCTGTAGTCCCAGCTACTAAGGAGGCTGAGGGAGGATGATGGGTTGGGTCTGGGAGGCAGAGGCTGCAGTGAGCCAAGATCATGCCACTGCACTCCAGCCTGGGCGACAGAGCTAGACTCTATCTGGGAAAAAAACCAAAAAAACAAAAAACAAACTACAGCTCTTTCAGTAACCTCTGTAATAATATATTCTTAGTAAAAGCAAGTGCTATAAATGACTGGAAAATTTATGTTATATTTGGCCTTAGATGTCTAAATATATATGTGTATATTATTATATATTATATATAATACAAACATTTATAAATATAAAAATAATGGCAAATTTCAACTTCATATAAATTTTATAATTTATTAAAAGCATTCTTTAGAAACAGCATTCACGTTTCAGTTATAGCTTTACAAACTTTTGCATTCTGTAAAAATGCTGAACAAAAATTTAGTATTTAATAACTATTTTCTATTGCTTAGATGGATTGATGGATTAACTTACAATCACAAATGAGACAAAAACTATCATAGCAGTTTTTTCTTTTTTCTTGTGAAAAATGAGGATGATCAAGTTCTATATTTTTTTGGAATTCCTTCTCTCTTTTTTTGTCATTCAGTAGTAAATGTAACATGTAGTTATTCAAGTAGTAAATGTAATAATTTAAGGAGTAAATGTGAAAATAAAGTCTTTCATTTTTAATCTTTGTATAATCTCTACAAATAAGTGTTAAAGTCTTTACTTAATGTCAAAAACTTTTGTGAGTTTCCCGTACCTTTTAATATCTTTTATTCATATATGGGTATTTTTATTTTGGTAGGAAATGTTGATGAATTAAATGGGTTGGCATTTGGTTTCGAGATCCATTGCTTTAGGAAACAGCATCTGCAGAAATTGAGCATTTGGCTTTGTTGGGATTAAGTTGGAAGACAGTTGGTTTTAGCTCTGCCTTCACCCGTCAGTCCTAGCCCAGTGAATGTGAATGCTAGATAGAATTTCAGGAATATGAGAATTGCCTACTTAGACAAAAAAAGGCATAAACAAATAGTTAAAAGATAACATGTTACCATAGTTACCTGAGCATTTTGGTTTCAGAAGTTAAAACATTTAAAAGAAATGAGAAAAAAAATCTCTATAATAGTCTTCTACAAGGAACAGTCCTTCTGCCTGGCATTCTAAGGTCTGGACTAAGTTTAAATTTTATTAAACACACAAACATGCACACACACACACAAATGTATTCTGTGATGTTTATGTCAAACTTTTTATGTCTGAAAATACTGTATATGGCACGCCTGATTTGGAAAACGATATATACTTTATGCCTGTTTTATCAAATATGGGCAAGGGTTTACTTAAAGCACCTGTGCACCTTCAAAGGAAGACCTAGTATGAGGAAATTTGCAGCATTTAGTTTTTTCCCCACACTCCAGCCTTCCTCATAAAATATTCACGTGATCAAGACTGAAATTGTCCTATTTATGATCTTAATAAATGCAGAAAGATGTTATTGTCTTCCTTGCTTTGTAGAAGCAAAGGAAAGAAACAATGGCACTTGAAAGAATTTTATGTTTCACCTTTTTGTTGGTTGGGGGGAGGAAAACCTGTACTTTTTCATGTATGTTTATCCTCTGGTTGTTAAAAATAACTTTCTCTCCAAATTCAAGAGTACATGAATTTTCCTTATATTATTCATATTTTGCTGTATTTATTTCGTTTGTTTAATATAATGGCCTGACATATTTTATATGTACAGATTTTAGATCAATATAGAACAATAAATTCACAAAATGTGGGTAGAAACTATTGAATGCCTTTTCCATGATAATTTATTACCTTTAAAATATTAAAAAATGCATCGTTTTGTTATATGTTTTTTGTTTGTTTCTTAAAGAAGATATTCTTTATTTCATGAGTATTGTGTGCATCATGATGTGAGGGATTGCTATGGGGATTGTTTCAATCATTTGTTATTCTATTTAAATTAGAGAAGAAAATTACTTAATGGTAGCTCTAACATCTAACATATCTAGTTTTGCTATACAGATTCTTGAAAATATTTTCAAAAAAAAACCCTATTTCAAAGTTTAAACTGTTCTTCTCTGGCAATAATCACTTTTATCTTATTCATTTCCACTTCCTGTAAAGTTGGATTTTTTTCTTTAAATTTTATTTGGATAACTGATGATGATTCAGTTAACCAAACCTATTAAATGAATAGTTATATCACTGTTAACACCATTTTAATATTTGTTTTCTTTCTACATTTAATATTTAAGATGCTTATAGGTTATTTTTCAGTGAGTTGTTGATAACACTTTTATTTTTTTGTATTAATCATATAAAGATGTCAAGTATTTCATGATTGGACCTGTTTGACTCCCTCCATAAGATTTTATTATTTTGTTAAAGGAGTAATGGAAATTAGATAAAATGTGATTCATGAATCTGGAATATTTAATTATTCTGGAATTCTAATTCTTAGACTATTTTGTAGAATCCATTACCACACCAAGCACTTATTGAGTGTTTACTTTTACTAGCATTATAAATGCAAAGATAAAACATATAAAAAATATTCTCTGTCTTCTGGGAGCTTTCATTCTAATTTGATAGAAAAGGATGTTTTTATTCCTGTCTCTTTTTGTATGCTCATTCAGTAAGAGTTCTTTAAATATCTACTGTAAGTATGCTAGGCAGAGATGAGGCTATAAGTTATGAATAATAATTTCTGCCTTCAAGGAGCCAAAATCCAGGTAAGGAAAGGATTGGCTATGCTAATTACTATTATGTTAAAAATACTGAATTTAAGTCATGCACAAATCTATGAAATTATGTAGGGCTAAGGAATTAATTCTATTGGACAGAATAATAGAAAGCTCTACAGATGATATTGCATACAGATTGGCCTTCATATGGGTAGTATTTTTACTAGTATAGATGGTTGAGAAAGGCATTTTAGGCTATGTTAGCATTATGAACACACATCTAAAAATGTGTGAAAATATGTGGTGAACTCAAGGATTATGAGAATTTTTTATGTGGTTATAATGTTGGGCACATAGGGAGATGATGGGAAATAAAACGTAAAAAAAAGATTTGAAGCCACGTATTTTTTTTTTATTCTATCGGTAATGGAAAGCAATTTGTGGACTTTAAGTAGGGAATGACATAATTAAATTATCTCTGTTACCATCTGCCCAAACCAAATCATCAATATTATTTTCATTACTGCTCTCCCTGCTTCCTTTCTTTCCCCCAACTAAAACCATGCCCATCCTTGAAATCTTCTAGTGGCCTCCCATCATGTTTAATACAAGATAAAAATTTTGTCTTCCAATTTACACAGAGTCCTTTGGACTTCTGTTTGCCTCTCCAGCATTATCTAGTAGCCTCTCCCTGACCCACTAATCTCCAGCTATGGAGTGGGGAAAATCTGAAGGCAAGAAGAGCTGTTGAATGACTATTAATTTAGATGAAAGTTCTCATGAGGCTAAAAGAGAATCATGGCAGTGGGGCTAGAATAAAAGGAGATAATTTGAAAAATACAGCCTATAGGTCATTGGTTTGAAGGACAGAAGAAAAATATATGAAATGTGACTTATATGAAAGATGTTTAAATCTAGACACATGATGATTTTGTAGAAGAAAAAATGATGGTCTAATTCATAAACTTAGGAAAGTGTGGTACAAACATTTAGTTGGTAATGGGCAAATTACACCAATTGGGTAGTTCATAATTTCTTCTACATTTTGTCTCTGTCATCCCCATCTCCAAATCATAAAAGTTTATAGAGATGGAATGTTGCATCAAATTTACAATTTGACCATATCCCCATAACCATTCTTTTTTCCAAGGACCCTATAAGGAAGGAGTACTCATAACCATTATTAATTGGACTAGAGATCATCCTCCAGGATTGACAACTGAGACCCAGAATGTCAATATCTTTCTGACTGGAATCCTTATCGTGGGAAATTGGGAGCCAATGGCTCTTTTAATTCACTTACTTTGTGGACTAAAAGTTACTAGAAAGTTTCTCACTAGAACGTTTCTCTCTAGAAAGAAATATGTAAAAGATATTCAGAGAGAAACAAACATCAAAGAAAGAACAGACTCTCCTCTCTCACACTTGAGGTATAGCACCATTCCTGTCTCTGTATTCATCTAAATCCTCCATTTTACTTAAGCTAGCTCAAGCTGGTTTCCTCTACTTATAAGTAGAAATGTCCTGCCTAATGCAGTTGAGCTTGGATTTGTCAAATTTGAAGTTGCAGTAGGATTCCTAGATGGGAATACCTAGCACTTACATAAAATTATGGCCCTTGGACTCAGAAGAGAATCCTGTCCTGTGTTATTCAGATTCAGATTCTATTAACTTTTATCAAGCACCTTCTATTGGCCAGACGTTGTGCCAGTCATTTTTATATGTATCCATACTACATTGTATTGATTTTCTGAATTTCTTAGGGGATTGAGGTGGGTCAAGTATGTGCTAGGTGTGACTAAGACTAGAGCTGGGCTAATTATTGGGTCTGAAGGCTTTGGTCATGACTCATCGAAGCAATCAAAACTAGAGGGAGATAGCACAACACACTGAAAATAAATGTTCTTAGCCATGAGCCAGAAAAAAAAAAAAAAAAACAAGAACAAAGGTTGAAGTTTAAGGGGAAAGAGAGGTATAATAAAGAGGAACAGAGCACCCAATCAGGGACTAGACAGAAACCAGATCAAAGCACATGTGAGTTTGAAATAAGAGCCCAGGTTGATTGCCCTGAACATCTTTGTATGTCTTTAGTTTGCTTCTGTGCTCTAGCTAGTGCATCCAGTGTGAGTGATATTTTTAGTGGGAGGAGGAGGTTGCTATTGAGAATGGGATCATTTTTGGCACTACATTTTTGAACCAATTTTTCTTGGCTTTCAGGAAAGCTCTAAGACTTTATATTTGTGTCTTACTACTTTTTGATTTTTAAATTGTTTATCCTTGAGATTTTTTAAGATTATGTTGTGTAAAATAATATTTTCACTCCCTTTCCGAATTGGGTTGCTAACGACCTACAGAAAATAATGCTATGTTCCATTATTTCTGATTTTCTTGGAAATTTCTCTGGGTATGTGAGAGAGAGAGGGAGAAATTCTCAGGAAAGATTAAGCTCTTCTGGTATGTTTGGACAACCATAAGAGTGCCAGGATATTTTGAGGTTAATGAGCCAAAAGAAGTCACTGAGCCAGATGAAGTATGACCTTCCAGGCTAAGGTAACAAGCATGGTTTTTAGCTTGTTTTTTTTTTTTGTTTTGTTTTTGTGTTTTAGGAGATGGCGAGATTAGAATCACTGAAAAGTTTTATAGGTTATTCTTTTTCATATAATGAGTTTTCATAGTACCTGTTTTCTTTGGCTCTAGAATGTTTTCTGTATAGCCATGATGTTTTCTATTTCTAAGAAGTTTAATGCATAGCATTTTCACTGTATTCTAACTCACCTGGTTAATTTTTTATAGTAAAATGTTTGTTTCCGGTTTACAAAAAATTGTGAAGATAATACAAATAGTTTCTGTATACCTACCCACTCAGTTTACCCTATTATTAATATATGACATTAGTATGGTATATTTGTCACAATAAATGAGCTAATCTTGATACATTGCTATAAACTCAAGTCCATACTTTATTCACAGTTTGTTACCTTTTGCCTAATGTCCTTTTTCTGGATACCACATCATCCAGGATACCACATTAAATGTAGTGGTCCTGTCTCCTTAAGCTCCTCTTGGATGGACAGTTATGATTACCCTCTTACCCCCAAAATTGTTTTGAGAATATCTGTAATTTTCAACTAAGCACATTTTTGGTTTTCATTCTTCCTATGGGATGTTTGTGTGTGTGTGTGATATGGTCAATATTGTAAACTATTTTGAATGTTAGTGAGTGTTGTATAGTTTATAAAAGATAGGGCTTTTCATACAGATTATTTAACTTAATTATATCTTTATACCTATTTCTATTTATCAATTGGTTTTATTTATTCTTATAAAGTTGATATATAAGTACTGATATACTAATACTGGCATGTTAAATACTTCCCAAACATTTGTGTTTCTGTTAGTTTTTCCTTGCATTTCTAATAGTGTTTTCTTTTTTTTTTGAGACGGAGTCTCGCTGTGTGGCCCAGGCGGGAGTGCAGTGGCGCAATCTCGGCTCACTGCAAGCTCCGCCTCCCGGGTTCACGCCATTCTCCTGCCTCAGCCTCCCGAGTAGCTAGGACTACAGGCGCCCACCATCACGCCCGGCTAATTTTTTTGTATTTTTAGTAGAGACGGGGTTTCACCGTGTTAGCCAGGATGGTCTCGATCTCCTGACCTCGTGATCCGCCCGCCTCGGCCTCCCAAAGTGCTGGGACCACAAGCGCGAGCCACCGCGCCCGGCCGTAGTGTTTTCTTTATATATACATTCTATTTTATTCATTTTATAAGTTTCATAATCATTACTTTTTCATTATGGATTATACCTTTTTTCTACCCTCTTGGTCCAGTTTAAGATTTCTTGCCTTTATTTCGATCTACCTAATATTAATATTGCCATCCTTGCTCTCTTTTTCCTCTGCAAAGTGAATTACACAGTGCCTTGAACATAATTGATGCTCAAATATTTAGAGAGTGAATAAGTGAATACATGCATATTTATACCTATTCATGAGAAGAATGAGAAAAATAGAAGATGAATGCAGGAAACACTTCAGCAGTTTTTTTGTGGTACTGCCAGCTATTTTAGCATATATGAAATATGTGTAAGTTTTCCTCCTATCCTCTAAAGCCTCACATACTTTCACAAAACATACTCACTTTTGAAGTTGAGGAAGCTGTATCTATATATCCAACTTAACATGTGCAATATCCAACATTATGTGAAAGAAATAGAGGGATAGTTATGTTATATCATAGCCTTTTGCCTGACACTTAGGATATGAATATTGTTAGTGGTTCATTTGCTTGGCATTTTAGTTCCCTCATTGCTTTTTCAATTTATCTCAGATTATTCATAGAGCTGAAGATGCCGTGTATCAAGAGTTTTGTAACTGAAAGACTTTTTTTGTTTTCATGTTTATAAGACTTGTACATGTGTTTGTGAATGTTTGTGCACTTTTAAATCTTCTAAGTGTATAAAATTTATTCAATTAAAAAGAACAGAAAAAAATTTTTAAGTTCCAAAGTTTTTTTTCCTTGCGTATTTCATTTTCTGAAATACATTTGTACGAAACTGTACTAAAGAGTTATTGTAGAAGAAATTGTCAAAATTAGTCAAGAACAAATATGAGCTATATAGAAATAGGATATAAAGGTGATTGTTCTCTGACATTAGAAGGTGATATAAAGATGATTTGAAAACTTATTGAACATTTCTACACAGTTACAGTGACATGATGGATTTGAAATACTGGAAGTGGAAGCCAAAGTTTCTTCCAGTCATATAAAATGATATACAGTATCTTTGTATGTATGATATTCAGAAACAAGCTAATTGGAGAGACTATAAAGAATATTCTTAAAGTTAAGCACTTTTTTTTTCTAAAGCTAAAATACCACTTTGAATAAGAGCAGTTTTCAAAGAGCCCTTTAATCAGTTTATTTAACAAATACTTATCTAGCTAAATCTGGGCTAGCAGTAAAGTAGTGAACCAAACAAAATCATCAAACTTAAAATCTTGGACTTATTTCATTTAATAATGTACTTTTCTAATGAGACCCCCAAAATTTAAAGCAGATCTAGAGTCTTTTTTAGTTGCAACTTTTAAATCATTAAGCCAAGGAAACATAAGATAAAAGAAGTAATATTTATTAATTTATTGTCCAGACACTTTACAGGGCCTTTTATATGTTGTTTCTCACTACAAACTTAGAGAGTTTTGGAACTTATGGTATTGAGTACATATTATAGATTAGTAAACTGATATTCAAATAAGTCCTAGGTAACTAATTCATTCATTTTTTTCAATAAATTTTTTTGAGCATTTACAGTGTAGTTCTAATCATGGTTCTAATCATGAGGGATTCAGGTCACACAACTAATAAGCATCGATGCCTGGTTTTCAAATCCTCGTCTTACTCCTAAAGCTATGCTTTTTGCAAGATGCCTTTTAGAATCCTTGTTGAGTCAATTGTCTTTATAATTAGCCCCTTTTGTAAAGGTATGCAGAGTCACCAGATAGTTGAGAAGAAAATGTGCAGTGGACTGTTAACTACACTTTCATTAAGATTCGCCAAGTCTTATTTTTTAAAAAAATTGTGGTGGACTATATTGTATCACATAGAATTGTCTTTTCAGGACTATATTTTAATATTTCACATTTGGCTTTCTTTCTCCAAATGCCTTTATGTTGAAAAGGAAAGTTGGGAATCTTTGCATTTTGTTTAAAGTTGTTTCTATGTATCATTTTTTATTCTTTATCACTGTGTTTTACAAAATAATCTCATGATAAATTCTCCTCCAACTGTATAGCTACAGCTTTTCTCAAACAGGATTTTAGACATAGTATTCTCCTATATCTTCCTTATGTAGTGTGTAATACAGGTTTGTTCTTATTATACGTTCTTTATCTATGAATATATTCCAGAAATTTGCAAATCTATAACCCAGAACTTTTTTAAAGCTCTTTACCTGAGTATCTCATTATCTGCCTATTAATACATATCTCTAACACCTTGATATTTCACAGACATTTAAAATTGAATCTAGTAAAAGTTAATCATCATCTTTTGTACTAATTCAGACAGATGGGTGCTAACCTCTGTTTCTTTTTTTCACACACTCAGTTAGTGACAAAATCCTATTTACTTCCTTTAGAATTTTTATATCCCTCCCTTCTCTTTTATGTCCCTTGTGTTACTCCTTTAGTGAATCACAATTTCTATTTAGTAGTATTTGTCTAACTGGCACATGGCTGCGTCCTTGAAACCTTTCTGAAGTCATAGAATGAATGGCAGTCTTATGTCCACTGAGCATGTTTTTAACGTAGTATTCATCAAATGAAATGAATTTTATTTGTTTTGCATGTTTATAGTCCACTTCTGGGCTGGAAGTTCTTTGAGGATAAAAGGATATATTAGCTTTGCCAACATCGCATAGTACCCAGCACATTAAGAAATGCAATAATAGTACGAAGGGGTGAATGAATAAAGAGTTTTTCTTAAAATATTTTTAGAAGTACCTGGGTATATTAGTCGGGGTTCTCCAGAGAAACAGAACCAATAGGGGAAACACATATAGGTAAACGTGCATGCGGATGTGCAGACACACACAGGCACAGATACACACGAACACACACACGTACACACACACAGAGAGAGAAATGAGAGATTGATTTACTATAAAAAATTGTCTCACATAATATGGACGCTAAAACATCCAAGATCTGTTGATGGTGTCATGCCAGGTCTAATATGAGGACCTGAGAACGAGGAGAGCCAGTGGTGTAAGTTATAGTCTCCAATGGTATAAGTTCAGTCTGTGTCTGAAGGCAGGAGAAGACCAGTGTCCCAGCTTAAAAACAGAGAGAGAGAGAGAGAGAGAGAGAGAGAGAGACAGAGAGACAGAGAGAATTTTTTCTTGTTCAGCTATTTATTCTATTCAGCCTTTAATGGATTAGATAAGGCACATCCACATTGAGGAGACCATCTGGTTTACCCAGTCTCTCAATTCAGATGTTAATCATCCAGAAACCCCTCAGAGACACACCCAGAAATAATGTTTAACCAAGTATCTGGGCACCTCATGGCCCAGTCAAGTTGACACTTAGAAAAATTTACCATCACAATGAGAGAAAAACAATTTAAAATGGAAAAAAACTCAATACGTGATAATTTAGACTCTAGTTTCCTTGTGACTGGAAAATTTGACTTGTGCCATTTAGTTTAGAATGTGTGAATTTTTGTTTACTGTTGGTTATATAACTGAGTTTTAAAAATAAATATTCATAACAATATAAGACTGAAGAGAGAGAAAAGAAAAATGTGGAGTAAGCTTATTTTTTAGTTTTATCCTTGTCCTCAGGAAAGGTTACCACTGTGTGGGGTTGACCGTTTAGTAGACTTATTGAAATTAATAGTAGCTGAAAGTTAATGTAACACTTATTTTGTGCCAGGCATTGTTCTAAGAACATTATATGTTTTTACTGTTTTTATCCTCACAACAGCCAAATGAGGTCAATATTGTCATTAATTATTATTATTTCAAATTTACAATGAGTAAACTGAACCACAGAAGGGCTAAGTGTTCTTTTCCAGACAGCTGGTACATGATGGAACTTGGATTCAAAGTTAACCCTGACTTGTCATTCAGAAATATTTACTGTTCTTATCTTGTGTTCCAGATATTCTTTTTGGCATAGCAGATATAGTAATGAACAAGAAAAAGTACCTGCTCTATGGAACTCGTGTTTCATTATATGTATAGAATGTCAGACAGCATTATGTTCAATGATGATCTGAAAATCAGAGTAAGGGGGAAAAGTAATGCCTAGTTTGGGGAAGAGTATTTACCATTTTATATAAAGTAACCAAAGAAGGCCTTTCTATTTTATTTTATTTTATTTTAAGTTCTGAGGTACATGTGCAGGATGTACAGGTTTGTTACATAGGTAAACGTGTGCCATGGTGGTTTGCTGCACCTGTCAACCCATCACCCAGATATTATGCCCAACATGCATTAGCTGTTTTTCCTGATGCTCTCCTTCCCCCCCGTTCCCCCCAGTAGGCCCCAATGTGTGTTGTTCCCCTCCCTGTGTCCAGGTGTTCTCACTGTTCAGCTCCCACTTGTAAGTGAGAACATGTGGTGTTTGGTTTTCTGTTCCTGTGTTAGTTTGGTGAGGATAATGGCTTCCAGCTCCATCCATGCCACTGCAAAGGACATGATCTCTTTCCTTTGTATGGCTGCATAGTATTCCATTGTGTGTATGTATCACATTTTCTTTATGCAGTCTATCATTGATGGACATTTGGGTTGATTCCATGTCTTTACTATTGTGAATAGTGCTGCAGTTAACATATGTGTGCATGTATCTTTATAATAGAATGATTTATATTCCTTTGTGTATATACCCAGTAATGAGATTGCTGGGTCAAATGGTATTTCTGGTTCTGGTTCTAGGTCTTTGTTTTTTTTTGTTTTTTTGTTTTTGTTTCATTATACTTTAAGTTCTAGGGTACATGTGCACAACGTGCAGGTTTGTTACATATGTTTACATGTGCCATGTTGGTGTGCTGCATTCATTAACTAGTCATTTACATTAGGTATATCTCCTAATGCTATCCCTCCCCCCTCCCCCGACCCCACAACAGGCCCCGGTGTGTGATGTTCCCCTTCCTGTGTCCAAGTGTTCTCATTGTTCAATTACCACCTAAGAGTGAGAACATGCAGTGTTTGGTTTTTTGTCCTTGCAATAGTTTACTGAGAATGATGGTTTCCAGTTTCATCCATGTCCCTACAAAGGACATGAACTCATTTTTTATGGCTGCATAGTATTCCATGGTGTATATGTGCCACATTTTCTTAATCCAGTCTATCACTGATGGACATTTGGGTTGGTTCCAAGTCTTTGCTATTGTGAATAGTGCCACAGTAAACATACGTGGGCATGTGTCTTTATAGCAGCATGATTTATAATCTTTTGGGTATATACCCAGTAATGGGATGGCTGGGTCAAATGGCATTTCTAGTTCTAGATCCTTGAGGAATCGCCACACTGACTTCCACAATGGTTGAACTAGTTTACAGTCCCACCAGCAGTATAAAAGTATTCCTGTTTCTCCACATCTTCTCCAGCACCTGTTGTTTCCTGACTTTTTAATGATTGCCATTCTAACTCGTGTGAGATGGTATCTCATTGTGGTTTTGATCTGCATTTCCCTGATGGCCAGTGATGATGAGCATTTTTTCATGTGTCTGTTGCCTGCATAAATGTCTTATTTTGAGAAGTGTCTGTTCATAAATAACATTTGCCCACTTTTCGATGGGATTGTTTTTGTTTTTGTAAATTTGTTTGAGTTTTTTGTAGATTCTAGATATTAGCCCTTTGCCAGATGAGTAGATTGCAAAAATTTTCTCCCATTCTGTAGGTTGCCTGTTCACTCTGATAGTAGTTTCTTTTGCTGTGCAGAAGCTCTTTAGTTTAATTAGATCCTATTTGTCAATTTTGGCTTTTGTTGCCATTGCTTTTGGTGTTTTAGACATGAAGTCCTTGCCCATGCCTATATCCTCAATGGTATTGCCTAGGTTTTCTTCTAGGGTTTTTATGGTTTTAAGTCTAACATTTAAGTCTTTAATCCATCTTGAATGAATTTTTGTATAAGGAAAAAGAAGGGATCCAGTTTCAGCTTTCTACATATGGCTAGCCAGTTTTCCCAGCACCATTTATTAAATAGGGAATCGTTTCCCCATTTCTTGCTTTTGTCAGATTTGTCAAAGATCAGTTGGTTGTAGATGTGTGGTATTATTTCTGAGGGCTCTGTTCTGTTCCATTGGTCTATCTCTCTGTTTTGGTACCAGTACCATGCTGTTTTGGTTACTGTAGCCTTGTAGTATAGTTTGAAGTCAGGTAGCGTGATGCCTGCAGCTTTGTTCTTTTGGCTTAGGATTGACTTGGCAATGTGGGCTCTTTTTTGGTTCCATATGAACTTTGAAATAGTTTTTTCTAATTCTGTGAAGAAAGTCATTGGTAGCTTGATGGGGATGACATTGAATCTATAAATTACCTTGGGCAGTATGGCCATTTTCATTATATTGATTCTTCCTATCCATGAACATGGAATGTTCTTCCATTTGTTTGTGTCCTCTTTTATTTCGTTGAGCAGTGGTTTGTAGTTCTCCTCGAAGAAATACTTCACATCCCTTGTAAGTTGGATTCCTGGGTATTTTATTCTCTTTGAAGCAATTGTGAGTGGGACTTCACTCATGATTTGGCTCTCTGTTATTGGTGTATAAGAATGCTTGTGATTTTTGCACTTTGAATTTGTATCCTGAGACTTTGCTGAAGTTGCTTATCAGCTTAAGGAGATTTTGAGCTGTAACAATGGGGTTTTCTAAATATACAATCATGTCATCTGCAAACAGGGACAATTTGACTTCTCTCTTTTCCTAATTGAATATCCTTTCTTTCTTTCTCCTGCCTGATTGCCCTGGCCACAACTTCCAACACTGTGTTGAATAGGAGTGGTGAGAGAGGGCTTCCCTGTCTTGTGCCAGTTTTCAAAGGGAATGCTTCCAGTTTTTGCCCATTCAGTATGATATTGGCTGTGGGTTTGTCATAAATAGCTTTCATTATTTTGAGATACATCCCATCAATACCTAATTTATTGAGCGTTTTTAGCATGAAGGGTTGTTGAATTTTGTCAAAGGCCTTTTCTGCATCTATTGAGATAATCATGTGGTTTTTGCCTTTGGTTCTGTTTATATACTGGATTACGTTTATTGATTTGCATATGTTGAACCAGCCTTGCATCCCAGGGATGAAGCTCTCTTGATCATGGTGGATAAGCTTTTTGATGAGCTGCTGGATTTAGTTTGCCAGTATTTTTTTTGAGGATTTTTGCGTCGATATTTATCAGGGATATTGGTCTAAAATTCTCTTTTTTCGTTGTGTGTCTGCCAGGCTTTGGTATCAGGATGATGCTTGCCTCATAAAATGACTTAGGGAGGATTCCCTCTTTTTCTATTGATTGGAATAGTTTCAGAAGGAATGGTACCAGCTCCTCCTTGTACCTCTGGTGGAATTCGGCTGTGAATCCATCTGGTCCTGGACTTTTTTTGGTTGGTAAGCTATTAATTATTGCCTCAATTTCAGTGCCTGTTATTGGTCTATTCAGAGATTCAACTTCTTCCTGGTTTAGTCTTGGGAGGGTGTATGTGTCCAGGAATTTATCCATTTCTTCTAGATTTTCTAGTTTATTTGCGTAGAGGTGTTTATAGCATTCTCTGATGTTAGTTTGTATTTCTGTGGTATCAGTGGTGATATCCCCTTTATCATTTTTTATTACGTCTATTTGATTCTTCTCTCTTTTCTTCTTTATTAGTCTCGCTAGCGTTCTATCAATTTTGTCAATTGTTTCAAAAAACCAGCTCCTGCTTTCATTGATTTTTTGAAGGGTTTTTTGTGTCTCTATCTCCTTCAGTTCTGCTCTGATCTTAGTTATTTCTAGCCTTCTGCTAGCTTTTGAATGTGTTTGCTCTTGCTTCTCTAGTTCTTTTAATTGTGATGTTAGGGTGTCAATTTTAGATCTTTCCTGCTTTCTCTTGTGGGCATTTAGTGCTATAAATTTCCCTCTACACACTGCTTTAAATGTGTCCCAGAGATTCTAGTATGTTGTGCCGTTGTCTGTTTGGTTTCCAAGAACATCATTATTTCTGCCTTCATTTCGTTATGTACCCAGTAGTCATTCAGGAGCAGGTTGTTCAATTTCCATGTAATTGAGCGGTTTTGGGTGAGTTTCTTAATCCTGAGTTCTAGTTTGATTGCATTGTGGTCTGAGAGACAGTTTGTTATAATTTCTGTTCTTTTATATTTGCTGAGGAGTGCTTTACTTTCAAGTATGTGGTCAATTTTGGAATGAGTGTGGTGTGGTGCTGAGAAGAATGTATATTCTGTTGATTTGGGGTGGAGAGTTCTGTAGATGTCTATTAGGTCCACTTGGTGCAGAGCTGAGTTCAATTCCTGGATATCCTTGTTAACTTTCTGTCTCGTTGATCTGTCTAATGTTGACAGTGGGGCGTTAAAGTCTCCCATTATTATTATGTGGGAGTCTAAGTCTCTTTGTAGGTCTCTAAGGACTTGCTTTATGAATCTTGGTGCTCCTGTATTGGGTGCATATATATTTAGGATAGTTAGCTCTTCTTGTTGAATTGATCCCTTTACCATTATGTAATGGCCTCATTTGTCTCTTTTGATCTTTGTTGGTTTAAAGTCTGTTTTATCAGAGACTAGGATTGCAACCCCTGCCTTTTCTTGTTTTCCATTTGCTTGGTAGATCTTCCTCCATCCCTTTATTTTGAGCCTATGTGTGTCTCTGCATGTGAGATGGGTCTCCTGAATACAGCACACTGATGGGTCTTGACTCTTTATCCAATTTGTCAGTCTGTGTATTTTAATTGGAGCATGTAGTGCATTTACATTTAAGATTAATATTGTTATGTGTGAATTTGATCCTGTCATTATGATGTTAGCTGGTTATTTTGCTCGTTACTTGATGCAGTTTCTTCCTAGCCTCGATGGTCTTTACAATTTGGCATGTTTTTGCAGTGGCTGGTACCAGTTTTTCTTTTCCATGTTTAGTGCTTCCTTCAGGAGCCCTTGTAGGGCAGGCCTGATGGTGACAAAATCTCTCAGCATTTGCTTGTCTGTGAAGGATTTTATTTCTCCTTCACTTATGAAGCTTAGTTTGGCTGTATATGAAATTCTGGGTTGAAAATTCTTTTCTTTAAGAATGTTGAATATTGGCCCCCCACTCTCTTCTGGCTTGTAGAGTTTCTGCAGAGAGATCTGCTGTTAGTCTGATGGGCTTCCCTTTGTGGGTAACCCGACCTTTCTCTCTGGCTGCCCTTAACATTTTTTCCTTCATTTCAACTTTGGTGAATCTGACAATTAGTGTCTTGGAGTTGCTCTTCTTTAGGAGTATCTTTGTGGCGTTCTCTGTATTTCCTGAATTTGAATGTTGGCCTGCCATGCTAGGTTGGGGAAGTTCTCCTGGATAATATCCTGCAGAGTGTTTTCCAACTTGGTTCCATTCTCCCCGTCACTTTCAGGTACACCAATCAGACATAGATTTGGTCTTTTCACATAGTCCCATATTTCTTGCAAACTTTGTTCATTTCTTTTTACTCTTTTTTCTCTAAACTTCTCTTCTCGCTTCATTTCATTCATTTGATCTTCAATCACTGATACCCTTTCTTCCAGTTGATCAAATCAGCTACTGAAGCTTGGGCATTCGTCACGTAGTTCTAGTGCCATGGTTTTCAGCTCCATCAGTTCATTTAAGGACTTCCCTACACTGGTTATTCTAGTTAGCCATTCGTCTAATCTTTTTTCAAGGTTTTTAGCTTCTTTGTGATGCATTCGAATTTCCTCCTTTAGCTCAGAGAAGTTTGATCGTCTGAAGCCTTCTTCTCTCAACTCGTCAAAGTCATTCTCCGTCCAGCTTTGTTCCATTGCTGGCGAGGAGCTGCGTTCCTTTGGAGGGGGAGACGCGCTCTCATTTTTAGAATTTTCAGCTTTTCTGCTCTGTTTTTCCCCGTCTTTGTGGTTTTATCTACCTTTGTTCTTTGATGATGGTGACGTACAGATGAGGTTTTGGTGTGGATGTCCTTTCTATTTGTTAGTTTTCCTTCTAACAATCAGGACCCTCAGCTGCAGGTCTGTCGGAGTTTGCTGGAGGTCCACTCCAGACCCTGTTTGCCTGGGTATCAGCAGTGGAGGCTGCAGAACAGCGAATATTGATGAACAGCAAATGTTGCTGCCTGGTTTTTCCTCTAGAAGCCTGGTCTCAGAGGGGTACCTGGCCGTGTGAGATGTCAGTCTGCCCCTACTGGCGATGCCTCCCAGTTAGGCTAGTCGGGGGTCAGGGACCCACTTGAGGAGGCAGTCTGTCCATTCTCAGATCTTAAACTCTGTGCTGGGAGAACCACTACTCTTTTCAAAGCTGTCAGACAGGGACATTTAAGTCTGCAGTGGTTTCTGCTGCCTGTTTTTGAGCTATGCCCTGCCATCAGAGGTGGAGTCTACAGATGCAGGCAGGCCTCCTTCAGCTGCAGTGGGCTCCACCCAGTTGGAGCTTCTGGGCTGCTTCGTTTACCTACTGAAGACTCAGCAACTGCGGGGGCGCCCGTCCCTCAGCCTAGCTGCGGCCTTGCAGTTTGATCTCAGACTGCTGTGCTAGCAATGAACGAGGATCCGTGGGCGTGGGACCCTCCGAGCCAGGCGGGCAATATAATCTCCTGGTGTGGCGTTTGTTAAGACCATTGGAAAAGCGCAGTATTAAGGTGGGAGTGACCCAATTTTCCAGGTGCCATCTGTCACAGCTTCGCTTGGCTAGGAAAGGGAAATTCCTGACCCTTGTGCTTCCTGGGTGAGGCAATGCCTCACCCTGCTTTGGCTCACACTCGGTGTGCTCCACCCACTGTCCTGCAACCACTGTCTGCCAAGCCCCAGTGAGATGAACCCAGTACCTCAGTTGGAAATGCAGAAATCACCCATCTTCTGCATTGCTCACGCTAGGAGCTGTAGACTGGAGCTCTTCCTATTCGGCCATCGTGGAACCGCCCCGGTTCTAGGTCTTTGAGGAATCACCACACTGTCTTCCACAATGGTTGAACTAATTTACATTCCCACTCACAGTGTAAAAGTATTCCTATTTCTCTACAACCTCAACAGCAGGCTCTTGTTTCTTCACTTTTTAATCATTGCCATTCTGATTGGCATGAGATAGTGTCTTTTTTTTTGTTTGAGACAGAGTTTTGCTCTTGTTACCCAGGCTGGAGTGCAGTGGCACAATCTTGGCTCACTGCAAGCTCTGCCTCCCAGGTTCAAGTGATTCTCCTGCCTCAGCCTCCCGAGTAGCTGGGATTACAGGCATGTGCCACCATGCCTGGCTAATTTTTTTGTATTTTTTTAGTAGAGACAGGGTTTCTCCATGTTGATCAGGCTGGTCTCAAACTCCCAACCTCAGGTGATCCGCCCACCTTGGCCTCCCAAAGTGCTGGGATTATAGGTGTGAGCCACCATGCCCAGCCAAGATGGTATATTTTGTGGTTTTTATTTGCATTTCTCTAATGACCATTGATGTTGAGCTTTTTTTCCTGTTTGTTGGCTGCAAAAATGTCTTCTTTTGAGAAGTGTCTGTTCATGTCCTTGCCCACTTTTTAATCGGGTTGTTTGTGTTTGTCTTGTAAATTTGCTTAAGTTTCTTGTAGACTCTGGATATTAGGCCATTTTCAGATGGATAGTTTGCAAACATATTTTACCCATTCTGTGGGTTAGCTGTTCACTCTGATGATAGTTTCTTTTGCTGTGCAGAAATTCTTTACTTTAATTAGATCCGATTTGTCAATTTTTGCTTTTGTTGCAATTGTTTTTGACCTCTTCAAGGGGAACTATAAACTCTGCTCAAGGAAATCAGAGAGGGTACAAACAAATGGAAAAACATTCCATGCTCATGGATAGAAAGAATCAATATAGTGAAAATGGCCATACTGCCCAAAGTAATTTATAGATTCAGTGCTATTCCCATTAAACTACCATTGACATTCTTCACAGAATTAGAAACATCTATGTTAAAATTCATATGGAACCAAAAGGAGCCCACATAGCCAAGATAATTCTAAGCAAAAAGATCAAAGCTGAAGGCATCATGCTGCCTGACTTCAAAGTTTACTACAAGGCTACAGTAAACAAAACAGCATGGTACTGGTACCAAAACAGACACATAAACCAATGGAAGAGAATAGAGAACTCAGAAATAAGACAGCACATCTACAACCATTTGCTCTTTGACAAACCTGACAAAAACAAGCAATGGGGAAAGGATTCCCTATTTAATAAATGGTGCTGGGAGAACTGGCTATCCATATGCAGAACATTGAAACTGGATCCCTTCCTTATACCTTATACAAAAATTAACTCAAGATGATTAAAGACTTAAATGTAAAACCCCAAACTATAAAAACCCTAGAAGAAAATCTAGGCAATACCATTTAGGACATAGGCACAGGCAAAGATTTCATGATGAAAGCATCAAAAGAAGGCTTTTGTATGAAAGTCATTTTTTTCTTTTCTTTCTTTTTTTTTTTTTTTTTTTTGAGATGGAGTCTTGCTCTGTTGCCCAGGCTGGAGTGCAGTGGCACGATCTCAGCTCACTGCAACCTTTGCCTCCCTGGTTCAGGCGATTCTCCTGCCTCAGCCTCCCGAGTAGCTGGCATTACACGAGCCTGCCACCATGCCCGGCTAGTTTTTTGTATTTTTAGTAGAGACAGGGTTTCACTGTGTTAGCCAGGATGCTCTTGATTTCCTGACCTTGTGATCCACCAGCTTCGGCCTCCCAAAGTGCTTGGATTACTGGCATGAGCCACCGTGCCCGGCCATAAAGTCATTTTTAAGCAGAGGCATGAAGGAAGTGAGCAAACCAGATAAACTGTTGCTTTGGGGGAAAAATGTTCCAGGGAAATCCTTGAGCAAATGCAGATTCCCTTACATGGGAGCATGCTTTGTATGCTTAAAGAACAACAAGGAGGCCAGGGAGTAAGAGAAAGAGGAATAGTAGGAAATGAAGCCAGATAGAGAAGGGCCCAAACTCTTATTAGAATTTCTAGACAATTATAAGCACTTTGGTTTTTAACCCCAAATAAAGTAAAAGCTATTATAGGAATTTGGGAAGAGTTTTGAAACATGATCTTGTTTCTGTTTTAACATAATCATGTTTG
Source organism: Homo sapiens (assembly GCF_000001405.40). NCBI lineage: Eukaryota > Metazoa > Chordata > Mammalia > Primates > Hominidae > Homo > Homo sapiens. The sequence continues at coordinate 114,258,093 of NC_000007.14, forward strand.
CTGCTGTATTGAGAATAGACAGTGGGATCAAAGGCAAAACCAGAAATACTAGGAAGCTGTGGCAATAATACACATTAGCAATGATGGTGGCTTGGATCTAGTTGGTAGTGGTGCAGGTAATGGCAGATGGTAATTCAAGAAGCTGAATTCTGGATATATTTTCAAGTTATAAAAACAGGATGTACATGTGGGTTATGTGTCTTAATCCCTACATTATACTGTGTTTGGTGGATATCCTATGATTGGTTAATGTTCCTATGCAAAGGAAGAGATGGTTAGGAGTTGACCAATTATGTCAATTATCTGGTGAAAAAGAAAAATAGTATTATAGGATCACCTTTTGAAAAGCATAGGATTAGAGCTGTGGTCTAGGCTAATGTCAGAGTTCTGGAATGGCCCAGGAACACCAGAACTTTATGACAGAATGAAACAAAGGATCTCAAAAGAGCAATAAGGACATTGTAGATATTCACATCCTGAAATTAAACAAACAAACAAAAAACACTATCAGTAATTTTACATATCATAACTATTCATTTTACTGGCACAACATTTTAAAACATTACCAGACTTATAGCAATGCTTCTGACAGTATTTATTTGATATATAAATTTATTTTGACATTGTCTTTTCTCAGGTTGAATGCAGAGAACTTCTCTGTCTTAAAAACATCAGAAACATTAAGTAGTAGACAAGATGAAGAATGTCTAGAGAGTTTCATTTATATGAACATAAATTATAATGTTTTACAGTGCTTAGGCTGTGATGAAGTTTAAGGTTCCATGGTAGGCAGAGAAAACCTGGGTAAACTATTAATAGTTTAGCATCTCGATTTCCTATGGGGATGTGGTTTCCACTTGTAGAGGAGAATATTATAGTCTTATTTAGTATAAAATTCATATATTGTAGAAGAGTATGTTAGAGGTCCCAGTTGGGCTTTTCTTGAATTTATTATCTTACCAAGTCAAATACAGATGCAGCTTTCATAAAAGGAATATATTCTAAAGTAATATCTGAGAGTCTTCGATCAACTTATTACATTTTGATGACCATTTCAACCGATGAACAGTAGAAGTAGAATAGCTGGAAGAATACAAATGAGGTGCAAAAGTTATTGATGAAAAGCAACAGAATTCAAAACTCAAAATGCTTAATAAATAAATATTGTAGGCAAACTGGGTTATAAAAAGGATAATTATTCTAAGTATGTTAACGTTGTTTACACTGAAATAGGCTGTTAAAAAATTATGGGCCAATTATGTTCAGTGACCTAACATTATAAAATAGATTAGTTACTAGGGTGAAAATTTCTTTAATAATACCATCTTTCATATAGAGTGATTCTTTGACTAGAATGACAGATGTAACCAGAACATAATAGTAATCAGAGAAAGATGTTTGAGTCTCAGAAGTATCTGCTACCTTCTTATTAGCCGTTGTTTACAGAGTATACGACAGTTTTTGTGTTATATGATTTCTCAGTCATAAAACAAGCTTTCAGCAGGAGAAGCAAGTTAAATATGTGTTTGTGTTGGGAGAGGATTGGATGGGAACATTCGAGCAGAAGCAGTGATAATAGCTGGAAATATGACATTGCGAAAAAAGATAAATCTTAATATACAAAACTGTAAAATGATGCACTTGTTAATGATGGGTTTTCCTGATAATAATCTTGAGGCAATAAATTCTAAATTATCACTCATAAGAAGTTTAGGCATAATACATTTTAGAAAGATTTCTCTCTGTGGTAGGTTGCAAAAATGTCTACAAATTCTTCCCATCCTTGAATGTATATTTTTGTTGTTGTTGTTGTTTGAGACAGAGTCTTGCTCTGTCACCCAGGCTGGAGTGCAGTGGTGCCATCTCAGCTCACTGCAACCTCCATCTCCCAGGTTCAAGCGGTTCTCTTGCCTCAGCCTTCAGAGTAGCTGGGATTAGCGGGGTGTGTGCCTCCATGCTCGGCTAATTTTTGTAGTTTTAGTAAAGACAGAGTTTCATCATGTTGGCCAGGCTGGTTCAAACTTCTGACCTCAGGTGATCCACCTGTGTCGGCCTCCCAAAGTGCTGGGATAACAGATGTGAGCCACTGCGCCCAGCCTTTTTTTTTTTTTTTTACATAAACAACAATAACAACAACAACAACACCGCCAAAAAACCAATGTGACTTTGCAGCTCCTCCCAGGCTATTTCTACATTCCCTTGAATCAGGGATGGCCTTGTGAATTAATTGACTGATGGAATATATCAGAAATGACATTAGCTCAGCAAATAGTAAAGTATGCCAACTGAAAAATACAAATTTGAAAACCGTCTGCCGCCATTATTGATTAATGGGTCCTAGTAAGTTATTGGTGGCAAGTTACTTTTTTTTTTAAGACAGCTTCATAAAATTATCTAAGAATTTGTAATCCCATAAATTAGCCTTAGATGACTCTATTTAAAAAAAATTGGACTGAATAGACTGTTGGCCTGACCTAAATTTTCTAGCCTACTATTTTGTTAGGTTTTTAGAATATTGAAACAAACATTTTCTTTTAATAATTTAAGAAAAAAACGCATGAACAACTAAGGATTTTTTACTTTTCAGTTTTCAAACTTTTAATTAGACACAAACACACACACACCTTTCATATTCCAGTTTATTCTTTCCAATTTAAAATGAGTTCAGACATCTTTTAAATAAATTATCAGATCCAAGCTAGTGAATATCTTAGTGGTTAGAGCTGCACAGGTAAGTGTATGTAATGGCATTAAAAAAAAAATATTCCCAGGCAATTAACCGAACACATGAAAAAAGAAATTAACGAGTGGGTGGAAGAAGAGCTGCATATTTTTGACAATAAAACAATAGGAGATGGTTTCGGTTTGGTACATGAAACAAAAAGGTGAATGTCTGTATAAGATTACTGTCTCTACTTCTTTCTTCTTAAATAGTAGTAGATGGTGGATAAGCTATGTGTATCTGTTAGAGAGCAATGAAGTTCCCTTTTGTTTGGTTTACAATTGTTGTTGTATGCTATTAGGTAAATTTTGATGTACTTTCAATAAAAAGGACTATTAATGAATTAATGTTTATAAGTCTCTTTGAGCTCATCAAATGAAAGGTGTTATATAAGTGTAAAATGGTAGTATTCTTGTAGTTCCCATGGCAACAATAACTTTCCCACCTGACATGAACTCACTAATAAAGTTGTAGCAAAGTCGCTATGCTAACTTTACTTTTTGCACTTTCAAATCTAAAATGTTTCAGGTTTGTACTTCAATATTGTATAAATATTTTATTTTTATTGACTAATTTATTTATGTTACCTCTGCACTCCTATTCCTTGCGTGTTTCATTGTATTTTGATTATCTAAGGAAAAGACTATTCAGGTTAAAAGTACGAGGATTTTAAACATTTTTAAAATGTTTAAAAGATTAGGCTTCTTCCTAATTCAACTGTCTTTAGAGTCAGAAAGCTCTGGAGTTAAATCTTGCCTCTGCTACAGTGTGATGTAAAACAAATTATTTCTCTCATCTGTTTGTCATCTGTAAAATAAAACGGTTATAGAACCTATCTCAAAACACCATTCTGTGGACTGCATGCAATTATATATGTGAGGTGATTAGCATGGTGTCTGATGCATAATAAGTACTTAAATCTAGATAGTATAGAATACATTATCTTCTATCCTTAGAATAAGTACATTGGCCTTATTCTCACACCTGTAATTTCAGCACTTTGGGAGGTCGAGGTGTTTGAATAATTTGAGGTCAGGAGCTCGAGACTAGCCTGGACAACATGGTGCAAGCCTGCCTCTATAAAAATACAAAAATTAGCTGGGCGTGGTGGCGGCCACCTGTAATCCCAGCAACTTGGGAGGCTGAGGCAGGAGAATTGCTTGAACCTGGGAGCTGGAGGTTGCAGTGAGCCCGGATCACGCCATTGTACTCCAGCCTGGGTGATAAGAGCGAGACTCTGTCTCAAAAACAAAACAAAACAAAAAAAATGCATCTAGGGCAGGTGTATCTGATAGAACTTACTGCTGTGATAGAAATATTTACTATCATCTGGGTACAGTGGCTCATGCCTGTAATCCAAGCACTTTGGGAGGTCTAGGAGGCAGGATTGCTGGAGGTCAGGAGTTCAAGACCAGCCTGGGCAACATAGTGAGGCCCCATCTCTACAAAAAATTAAAAATTACCCAGGTATGGTGGTATGTACCTGTAATCTCAGCTGCTTGGATGGCTGAGGTGGGAGGATCACTTGAACCAAGGAGTTTGAGGCTTGGAGTGAGCTATGATCACATCATTGCACTCCAGCCTAGGTGACAGTACTAAATAAAAGGTACTATGCTTAGTACTTGGGTGATGGGATCATTCATACCCTAAACCTCAGCATCACTCAGTATACCCAGGTAACAAACCTGCACATATACTTCCTGAATCTAAAATAAGAGATTTTTTTTAAAAAAAGAAATGTTCACAATCTACATAGTTCAGTATGGTAGCCATTAGCCACACAGGGTTGCTGAGTACTTGAAATCTGTCAAATAACTGATGTTTAAGTTTGATTTAATTTTAACAAATTTAGATTTAAAGAATCACATTTGGCTAGAACCTACCAATATTAGACAATGCAGGTCTAGTGTAAGGCAACATTTCTTCTTTCTTTCCACCCACCTGAGGAATTTATTTGCATTCCAGTTGGAATATTGGAATTTTAACTTGTGGTCTTCTTTCATCCTTGTTGATCATGCACACTCATGGTAAATAAAATTTATTTTTAGGTTTTTCTTTAATTTCTACTTTTCTTTTTACCTTAGTTTTATGTCTACATAGTATCCCCTCTCTGCCAAATTCCATAATGCCCATTCAGTGCATTCCTCTGCTCATTTTTCTCTTATCCACTAATTCCCTACACTCTTAGCTAACCTTTTTCCTTTTAGCTCTGTTGCACAGTAAAGAAGGGTCTTTTCTTTTGACAAACAACTCTTTATATTTCTTTGACCTAATTTTCTCCCAGCTTCCCTGAAACCTTGCTCCATTGTCAATCCTTTTGTCCTTAATATTTTCCTCATCACCAATTCTTTTATTCAGTTTCAAATCAAAGGAATTGCTCACTATCCTTTATTTTATTATCAGAGTTGCAAATGAGTTATCTTTGCTTATGCCAGAACTGCCTCATCTTCCATTTTCCCCTTAATTTCTTGAAATCTGGTCAATCATAAACACTCCTCTATTATAGATTACCAATTCCTTTATGACTTCTTTTTCTTTTTTTTTTTCAATTTTCTTTCCTTCTTCCCCTCTTTCTTCCTTTTCCTTTTCCTTTTTCCTTTTCCCTTTCCCTTTCCTTTCCTTTCCTTTCCTTTCCTTTTTTGGTGTTTTTGTTTATTGAGACCGGGTGTTGCTGCGTTTCCCAGACTGGTGTTTAGTGCTGTGATCATAGCTCACTGTAACCTTGAACTCCTGGGCTCAAATGCTCCTTCCACCTCAGCCTCCCAATGTGCTGGGATTACAGGCGTGAGCCACTGTGCCTGGCTGATGTTCTTTTCTTAATCAGTCCCACCTTGAAATGTATTCTTCCTTTGGCCTCCTATACCATCCTGCATTGTCTCCTGATTCTTTGTAACTGTTATGGTTCCTTTAAAATGCTTGTGTTTTCTTTCTTGCAGCATTCTCCCCTGCAAGAAAGAAAATACAGGCATTTTAAAGGAACCATAACAGTTATACTGGTATACACTCTGTCGGCCTCGAGCTGGCTTCTAGTTTGCATTCCCATGCTTCCTCACCTATTTGTGTCCTAAATGAATCCTTCTAAAGTCAGCTCACAATTATATGACTTATTTTTAGAAAAAAGCCTTTAATATTTGTGTGTTTTAAAATCTTTAGCTTGGCCTTCAGGAACACTGGATGTATTCTAGCTTTGCCTGTTTAGCTTCCTTACTCTCACCTTTTTACGCTGCCGCCCAGGAGTTCTGAAAGTGTGTCTAGGGTTTCTCTAAGACCCTGTCAAGGTGGCTGTGAGGTCAAAACTCTTTAATACTTATATTAATATGTTATTTGCCTTACTTCTCTTCACCCTTATTCTAGTATGATTATACCAGAGAGCTGTCCAGAGGCTAAAGATGTTTGATGATGTCATTACTCTGATGACTAATGGAATGTATGTGTGATTTTTAAATTTCTCAGTTGAATACAGTAAGTACAGATACAGGTCATTCACAAAAATAGAAGTTTTTTCATGGGGGGCAGGATTCTTATTTTAAAAGTGTAAAGGTGACCTGAGACCAAAGGTTTGAGAACTTCTGTTGTAACTTACTGTTACTATGCCATTGTTGTTTTTACACAAATATGCTCATGTTTTCCCTCCCACCCCTATTTAAACAACGTCTGCACTTTAATGTCTGGGCCAAATGTTAACTCCTCATCAAGCCTTTCCTGATCTTCTCCTTCACCCACAATAGTGTGTGATTATTCTTGTTTACACATATTACCTGTAGTACTTTATTTGTATCTTTTAAAAATGATATTTGTAGTATTAACCTATTTGGGGGTGTGTTAGGCTGTTTTTGAGTTACTATAAAGAAATACCTGAGACTGAGCAATTTATAAAGAAAAGAGGTTTAATTGGCTCACCATTCTACAGGCTGTATAACCATGCAACCAACATTGCTCAGCTTCTGGGGAGGCCTCAGGGAGCTTTTACTCATGGGGGAAGGCGAAGCAAGAGCAGGCCCGTCACATAGTGAAAGCAAGAGCAAGAGAGAGAGTGTGCGGGGTGGGGAGGGGATGTGCCACATACTTTTAAATGACCAGATCTCATGAGAAGTCACTCACTATGCCAGGACAGCATCAAGCCATGAGGGATCCTCCCACATGACCCAAGCACTTCCCACCAGGCCCTACTTCCAACATTGGGGATTATAATTGAACATGAGATTTGGGCAGGGCATCCAACCTGTATGATTTTGCCCCGGCCCCTCCCAAATCTCATGTCCTTCTTACATTGTAAAATGCAATCATGCCTTTCCCAACAGTTCCCCAAAGTCTTAACTCATTTCAGCATTAACTCAAAAGTCCAAAGTCTCTTCTGAGACAAGGCAAGTTCCTTCCACCTATGAGCCTATAAAATACAAAACAAGTGATTTACTTCCAAGATACAATGGGGGTATAGGCATTGGGGAAACATTTCTATTCCAAAAGGGAGAAATCAGCCAAAAGAAAGGGGCTACAGGTCTCAGGTGAGTTTGAAACCCAGCAGGGCAGTCATTAAACCTGAAAGCTCCAAAATAATCTCCTTTGACTCCATGTCCCACATCCAGGGCACACTGATACAAGTGGTGGGCTCCCAAGGCCTTGGGCAGCTCTTCCCCTGTGACATTGTAGGGGTCAGCCCTTGCGCTTGCTCTCACAGGTTTTTGAGTGCGTGTGGCTTTTCCAGGCAAAGGGCGTAAGCTGCTGCTGGCTCTACCAGTCTGGGGTCTGGAGCATGGTGGTCCCCTTCCCACAGCTCCACTAGGCAGTACCCTAGTGAGTACTCTGTGTGGGGCCTCCAACCACACATTTCCCCTTGAAACAACCCTAGTAGAGGTTCTCGGTGGGGACTCTGCCTCTGCAGTGGGCTTCTGTGTGTGCACCCAGGCTTTCTCAGACATCCTGTGAAATGTAGGTGGAGGCTGCCAAACCTCCTTAACTCTTGCACTCTGTGCACCCACAGGCTTAACACCCCAGGGAACCTGCCAAGGATTATGGCTTCCACCTTAATGGCAGCAGCCCAAGCTGTACTTCAGGTCCCCTGAGCCGAGGCTGGAGCTTGAGTGGCCTGGTTTCGAGAAGCAGTGTCCTGAGGTTGTGCAGGGCAATAGAGGCCCTAACCCCCAAATTCATTTTTTCCTCCTAGGCCTCAGAGCTAGTGATGGGAAAGGCTGCTGTGAAGGTCTCTGAAATGCCCTAGTAGCTTTTTGTCCATTGTCTTGAATATTAGCACTTCAATGAAAAAAAAAACAAAAAACTGGACCTATCAGCCCAGATTTTACTGTCCATATCACTATTAGCATTTTGGTCACAACCATTTAACCAGTCTCTAAGAAGTTCCAAATTTCCCCTCATCTTCCTGTTTTCTTCTGAGCCCTCCAAACTCTTCCAACCTCTTCCTATTACCCAGTTCCAAAGTCACCTCCACATTTTCAGGTATTTTTATAGCAAAACTCCTGGTGCCAATGTTCTCTGTTAGGGCAGGTCTTGCTTTGCTATAGAGGAAATACCTTAGACTGGATAATTTATAAAGAGGTTTAATTGGCTTATTGTTCTGCAGACTGTACAGGAAGCATGGTGCCAGCATCTCCTCAGCTTCTGGGAGGCCTCAGGGAGCTTTTACTCATGGTGGAAAGTGAAGCAGGAGCAGGCATTTCACATGGCAAAAGCAGAAGCAAGAGAGAGAGTTGGGGAGAAGTACCACACACTTATAAGCCACCAGATGTCATGAGAACTCACTCAGTGTCTAAGAACAGCATCGGGATATGAGGAATCCATCCTTATGCCCCCAGACACCTCCCAATAGGCCCCACCTCCAACACTGGGGGTTACAATTCAACATGAAATTTTGGCGGGGCATCCAAACTATAACAGGAGGATTACTGGATTTGCTTAATACCTTGAATCAGGGACCATATAATTTTTGAGCTTTGTTATTTCCACTGAACTTCATATATTTTAGGATAGACACTCAGTACTTATTTGTTTGATATATAAAATTGTTCACTTGTTCAGCTATTAGTTCATTGAACAAAAATTTATGTAGTGCCAACTGTGAGCTAAATGTTTGAAAGACCCTCGAGGAGCTTAATGTCTTATAGTAGGTGATAAAAATGTAAACAAATTAGTGTTGTAATCATCTTACAACATGTTATAAAACGTTTGAATAGAGTTCATTGGAAGGAGGGAAAAAAACAAATGAGCAAATCTTCTAAAGAAATGGGATATCAGAAAATGCTTTAGAGAAGAAGTTATTCTTAAAATGAAAATTCTGCATGCGCCAAATCCTATTCTTCTTGCCAAGAGCTTTCTATAGAGCATGTACCCTGTAGACTTACTGAAGATTGAAAAAATTATCCTCTCAACCCTTCAAAATGCCAGCTTTCTAGATCCTAAAGAAAGCAGCCTTTACTAAGTCTTTTCTTTATTACCTTTCCTAGAAAAAGCTTATGAACAACTTTTTGCAAGTATCGCCAAATTCAAAGAACATCTTCCATTACTTTCATTTACTATTCATTTACTATTCCGTATTAGCCTAAAAATATCTTATTTTTAGATATTCGCTCTTACATGAATATGTTAATGTACTTCTTTTTCAATTGTAGTAAAATATAGGCTGGGCACAGTGGCTCATGCCTGTAATCCCAGCACTTTGGGAGGCCAAGGCAAGCAGATCACGAGTTCAGGAGATCGAGACCATCCTGGCTAACACGGTGAAAACCTGCCTCTACTAAAAGTACAAAAATTAGCCAGGTGTGGTGGTGGGTGCCTGTAGTCCCAACTACTCGGGAGGCTGAGGCAGGAGAGTCACTTGAACCCAGGAGGCAGAGGTTGCGGTGAGCCAAGATTGTGCCACTGCACTCCAGCCTGGGAGACAGAGCGAGACTCCATCTCAAAAATAAATAAATAAATAAATAAATAAATAAATAAATAAATAAATAAATAAATAAAATAAATATATATGTATATATAAAACATTTATCATTTTAACAATTTTTAAGTGTATGGTTCAATGTCATTAAGCACATTCAGACTGTCATGCAACTGTCACAACCATGTATCTCCAGAAATTTTTTTATCTTCCAAAATTGAAATACTGTACCCATTAAGCAATAATATACTTCTCATTTCCTTCTCTCTCAAGTCCCTAAAAACCACCATTCTCCATTCTGTGTCCATGTATTTGACTACTCTATGTATTTCATATAAGTGGAATCACAATATTTGTCCTCTTGTGAACTGGCTAATTTTACTCAGCATAATGTCTTCAAGGTTCATCCATGTAAACAAGCATCAGGACATAGTATATGTCAGAATTTCTTTTTTAAGGCTAAATAATATTCCATTGTATGTACATACCACATTTTATTTATCCATTTATCCTCTGTGGACATGAACATGTAAATTTTGAGTATATTTTTTCATGTGTGGAACTTATAATCAACTCAGCAACATGTACTTAGGGGTTACTTGGTAGGACATGGAATTAAAGTCATAATGTGATTATGAGTATTTGTGCAAGAGGGAATTTGCTCATACATAGGATAATATTAGGGCATATTAGAATTTAGTGAAACATAAATTTGGACTACAAACTCAGATTAAGTACAAAAATGCTCACATTTTAAAAACTACCACTCAAATATCCATACAAATTTTGTGTTAGATTTTCTTCTTTAGGAAAGATAGAGTATGTTGTAATATAGTGTCTTAAGCAATAGTGTGGCAAGTTAGGATAGTGAGATCCTTCTTACTAGGGCTGTAATTCTAAAGCTGTTGCTCCTGATGTTCTCAAAGTGTTGTTTCTTTAGCGTGTTCTGTTAGTGCTACTACTCACTCTGACGATTGGTGAAGTCTATACTCCCCACTGTGTGTGTGTGTGTGTGTGTGTGTGTGTGTATGTGTGTATTTTCCGTTAATCGTTTCTGGGTTTCCTCTGCCATAGATTAGTAACACTAAATTATTAGAGGCATGAAAAAGAAAGTTTTGCTTTTTCTGAGAATGTATTTTGTTGAATCTATATTTTAAAGGAAATATAGTCAATCAGGAAAATATTGTCCTTATTTTGAACAAATCAGATCAATTACATATTAAATAAAGGCATCATATAAAGACAACACTAGTCCAGTATGTTTACTGTATATTAATTATCAGTTATAAAAGTTTGATTTTCCTGAGGCTAGCTGAATATATTATAAAGACATTTTCTTTGTTTCACCTGAAGAAATCATGTCATTTATAACTGAGTATTCTAGCTAAGTAAACAAATAGGGCCTATACTTTATGCACAAGATACAGAGAGGTGTTGGACAAACAATTTGATACGGCTTAGAGTTTAGGGTCCTCATGAAGGTATATAGCAGGAGGCCAATATATGGTTGAATATAAATGTAAATTGTTTAGAGGGTAGTCATATTGTTGATATTTTGAATAGAGATAGACAGAAAAAGAATTATTTGTAATTAAAATGCCTTAAACATGGAAGTATTTTGCGTTTGTAAAGAAAACTAAAAATTCTAAATGAAAAAGTGAAAGTGGTAGTTTAAGGAGCTCTTTTCCTTGTTTATTAGTACATGCTATTCTTGAATTAAATCTTTTTTTGTTTGTTTTTGAGACACAGTCTTGCTCTGTCACCCAGGCTGTAGTACAGTGGCATGATCCTGGCTCACTGCAGCTTTGGATTACTGGGCTAAAGCAATCCTCCAGTCTCAGCCTCCCAAAGTGCTCTGATTAGAAGCGTGAGCCACTGTGCCTGGCCAGCAGTTTTTATTTAATGTATAAATAACATGATTCTGTTTTGCTTGTTTAAAAATTTACTTTTATATTATTAAATTATGATTCTACTATTGTGAGTCTCTTAAAAGACTCAACACAATTCATTTACCTGGTGATTCTGTTGTTTATTGTTAATCATTATCAATGGGACATGCACTTCAGAATTATGTTCCTCCACACCCCACCCTCAGTAAAAAGGATAAATTTACAATTTTGTATCAAAGATTACTTCATTTTTATCACTAGAGCTCTATGTTTGCAAAGTAATGACCTCTCCATCATTGATTCTTCAAACAAATATTTAAAGTGCTTACTTTGTGCCAGGTGCTTTTCTTAACTGTCTTGCTTTATTGTTCCAGTGATTTAACCACATTCATCCAGAAATTCTCGGCCTCAGGATAATGAATACTCTGTGCTCAACTTTTAGAAAACAAATAAGAAATCAAAAAGAAAAATGTTGATCAGTCAGAATGCAAAGAAATGAGCATTCTTTCACTTAATAATATACGTTTAAGGTTTTTCCATGTCTTTCCATGGCTTGATAACTCATTTCTTTTAGTGCTAAATAATACTCAATTGTGTGTATATTTTGCAGTTTATTTATCCAATTACCTACTGAAGGACATCTTGCTAGCCCCCAAGTTTTGGTAATTATGAATAAAGCTACTATAAGCATCTGTCTTCATGCTTCTGTTTGGACTGAAATTTTCAGTTCATTTGGCTAAATACCAAACAGCACAATATTCAGATCCTTTGATTAGAGTGTCCTTAGTTTTGTAAGAAACTGCCACAGTCTTTCAAAGTGGCCATGCAATTTTGCATTCCCACCAACAATGAATGAAGGTTTCTGTTGCTCCACATCCTTGTCAGCATTTGATGTTGCCAGTGTATTGGATTTTGGGTATTCTAATAGATATGTAGTGGTATCTGATTATTTGGCATTTCCCTGATGACATAGGTTGTTAAGCATGTTTTCATTTACTCATTTGCCATCTGTGTATCTTCTTTGTTGAAGTGTCTGTTAAGATCTTTGGCCCAGTTTTTAATTGAGTTTTTTTCTTATTGTTGAGTTTTAAGAATTCTTTGTGTATTTTTGCTTAACAGTCCTTTATTAAATGTGTCTGTTGCACATATTTTCTCCATTCTGTGGCTTATCTTCCCATTCTTTTGTCTTGACAGTGTTTTTATGGAGCAGAAGTTTTCAGTTTTAATGAAGTCCACTTTATCAGTTATTTATTTCATGGATCATGCTTTGGTATCTAAAAAATCATCACTATACCTAAGGTCATCTAGGATTTCTATATTATTTTCACATTTAGGGCTATGATCCATTTTGAGTTAAAGGTCTGTGTCTCAATTCATTTTTTTTTTGTATGTGGATGTCTAGTTGTTCTAGCACCACATGTTGAAAAGACCATCTCTGCTCATTGTATTGCTTCTGTTCCTTTATCAAAGTTAAATTGACATAATTATGTAGGTCTATTTCTAGGCTATCTATTTTGTTCCATTTATTTATTTGTCAGTTCTTTCACCTTGCTGTAATTACTTATTAGTTCCAGGAGTATTTTTGCTGATTCTTTCAGATTTTCTACACAGCCAATCATGTCTTCTGCAAACAAAGAGAGTTTTATTTTATTTTTTCCCAATATGTATACTTTTTCTTTCTTTTATTTGTCTTACCATGTTTGCTAGAACTTCCAATAAACTGTTGAGAAGGAGTGGTGAGTGGGGACATGCTTGCCTTGCAATGGATATTAGTAGGAAGGATTTGAATTTCTCACAATTAAGTATGTTAGCTGTCGGGATTTCATAGATGTTCTTTATCAAGTTAAGGAAGTTCCCATCTATTCCTGGTTTACTGAGAGGATTTATATATATATATTTATATAAATATATTAATAATATAATATTAATATAATTATTATATTATTATAATTATATTATAATATATAATATATAATATAATTTATATATTAATATTATTATAATATAATATTAATATATAATAAATAATTATATTATTAATATAATTATTAATTATTATAAATATTATTAAATATATTATTTAAAATTATATTTAATAATATATTTAATATATTATTTAATACATATGTATTAAATATATATTAAATACATATGCATTAAATATATATTATTTAATATATTATTTATATATAAATGTATGTCATATTATTTATATTTATATATAATATAAATATATGAAATATATAAATATTATTAAATAATTATTAAAACATTATAATATGATTATTAATTATAAACATTAATATAATTATTAATATAATTATAATATAATTATTATAATATTAATATATTGTATTTATTATTATATTAATTATATATAATATAATTATATATAATATATAATATGTAATATTATAATTATAATATTAATAAATAATAATATAATATAAATATGTATAAATATATAAAATATATAAATACATATATAATATATATATTTAAATCATGAATGGATGTTGGATTTTGTCAAATGCTTTTCTGCATCTATTGATATGATCGTGTGATTCTTTAGTATGTTGTTGTGATGGGTTATATTAATTGATTTTTGAATGTTGAACCAACCTTACATTCCTGAGATAATCCCACTTGGTAATGGTATATAATTTTTACACAATATTGGATTTGGTTTATTAATATTTTGTTGAAGATTTTTGCAATTTGTGTTCCTGAGAGAGATTAGTCTGTAGATTTCTTTTCTTGTAATATCTTTGGTTTTGGTATTAGGGTAATGCTGGCTTCATCAAATGAGGAAGGAAGTATTTCTCCCACTTCTATCCTCTGAAAGAAATTGTAGAGTATTGGTATAATTTCTTCCTTAAAAGTTTGGTAGAATTCACCAGCAAACCAACAGGGGCCTGGTGCTTTCTATTTTGGGAGGTAATTAATTATTGACTCAATTTCTTTAATAGACATAGGCCTATTCTGGTTATTTATTTCTTCTTATATGAGTTTTGGCAGCTTGTGTCTTTCAAACTTTCATCCATTAGGGTATTAAATTTCTGGGCATAGAGTTGTTTGGCAGTTTGTGTCTTTCAGACTTTCATCCATTAGGGTATTAAGTTTCTGGGCATAGAATTGTTGATAATATTTCTTTATTATTATTCTCACATCCATGGTATCTGTAGTGATTTCTCTCCTCTGTAGTGATTTCTGATATTAGTAATTTGTGTCCTTACTTTTTTCTATGGAGTCTGGATAAAGGCGCCTCAATTTTACTGATCTTTTCAAAGAATTAATTTTTACTTTTGTTGATTTTTTCTATTTATTTCCTGTTTTCAATTTCATTAAGTTATTTCTTAATCCTTATTATTTCTTTTCTTTTGCTTACTTTGGATGTAATTTGACATTCTTTTTCTAGTTTCCCAAAGAGCAAACATAGGTCATGGATTTCATATCTTTTTTTCTTTTCTAATATTGCATTTAATATGATAAATTTTCCTCTGAGCACTGATATTACTTTATCCCACACATTTTGATAAGTTATATTTTCATTTTCTCTATGTTCAGAATGTTATTAAATTTCTCTTGAGGTTTCTTCATTGACCTGTGTGTTACTTAGAAGTGTGTGGTTTAATCTCTACATATTTTGGGAATTTTAGTTATCTTCCTGTTGTTTATTTCTAGGTTAATGCTTTTGTGATCTGAGAGCAGATGTTGTTTGGATTCAATTCTTTCAAAATCTGTTAAGATGTGTTTTATGACTGTGAATGTAGTCTATCTTGGTGAGTGTTCCCATGTGAGCTTGAGAAGAATGAGTATTCTGCTGGTATTATTGGCCGTCTCATGTAGTCTACAGATGTTACTTATATCCAGTTGATTGATGGTGTTGTATTCAACTATGTCTTTACTGATTTTCTGCCTGATAGATCTGCCCATTTTTGATAGAGGAGTGTTGAAGTTTTTAACTATAATAGTAGATTCATCAGTTTTTTCTTGCCAATTTATCAATTTCCACCCCCACATAGTTTCTTGCTCTGTTGTTAGGTACATACATATTAAGGATTGTTGTCTTCTTAGAGAATTGACCCCTTTAACACTATTTTTATCTCTGAAAACTTTCCTTGCTTTGAAGTCTGCTATGTCTGAAATTAATATAGATACTCCCATTTACTTTTGATGAGTGTTAGCATGCTATATTTCTTTATCCATTTACTTTTAATCTATATGTGTCTTTATATTTATTTAAAGTGCATTCCTTGTAGACAACAAATAATTTGATCTTATTTTTTGGTCCAGTTTAACAATCTCTGTCTTAGTTGGTGCATTTAGACCATTGATATTCTGTTGGAGTAATATCTACCATATTTATTACAGTTTTCTATTTGTTGTCCTTGTTCTTTGTTCCTATTTTTCTTCCATTTTTTCCTGCCTTTTGTGATTTTAAAGATTTTATATAATTTTATTTTTTCTTCTTTCTCAGCATGTCAGTTCTTTTTTTTTCTTTTTATTATTGTCCCATAGTTTGCAATATAGACTTACAACTAATCCAAGTCCACTTTCAAGTAACACTACACCACTTCATGGGTAGTGTGAGTACCTTATGAAAACAATTGTAATTCACCTCTCCCATTCTTTGTATTACTACTGTCATTCAATTTGCTTATATATAAGCATGCATAAGCATATATACACATATACATGAGATATGTACATTGAGATTATTTTGAATGAACTGTTATATGTTAGATCAATTAAGCATAAGAAAAATAAAAGTTTTAATTTTACCTTCTCTTATTCCTTCTATTATCCTCTTCCTTTCTTTATGTAAATCTGAGTGTCTGACCTGTATTATTGTCCTTCTAGCTAAAGAATTTAACATTTCTTGGAAGGCAGGTCTACTGGAAACAATTTCCTTCCGTTTTTATTTGTCTTATAAAATATTTTTCCTTCACTTTTGAAGGATAGTTTCACAGGGTATGGAATTCTGGATTGGTTTTTTCCCTCTCAAAGCTTTTTTTTTTTTTTTTTTTTTTTTTTTTTGAGGCAGGATCTTACTCTGTTGTCTGGGCTGGAGTGCAGTGGCACGATCTCGGCTCAAGGCAGCCTTGACCTCCCTGGGCTCAAGTGATCCTTCCATTTCAACCACCCAGGTAGCTGGGACTGCAGGCATGCACCACCATGCCCGACTAGTTTTTTTATGTTTTTTGTTTGTTTGTTTTTTTGTTTTTTTGTTTTTGTATTTTGTAGAGATGGGGTTTCACCATGTTACCTAGGCTGGTCTGGAACTCCTAGTCTCAAGCAATCCGCTCACCTCAGCCTCACAAAGTGATGGGATTGCAGGCTACCATGCTTGGCCCCTCTCAACACTTTAAATATTTCATTCTATTCTCTCTCCTTGCTTGCATGGCTTATGAGGGAGAAATTAGATGTAATTCTTATCTTTTTTTCTGTATAAGTAAGGTGTTCTTTTCCTCTTTATTTTTTCAGGACTTTTTTTTTCTTTTTCTTTGAGTATCTGTAGTTTGAGAATTATAAACTTAGGTGTAGTTTTTTGACATTTATTCTAATTGGTGTTCTCTGAGTTTTCTGGATCTGTGGGTTAGTGTTTGACAATATTTTGGCGGAATTCTGTCATTATTGTGTAGAATATTTATTCTGTTTCTTTCCCTCTCTATTCTCCTCTTGTATTCCCATTATGTGTATATTAGACATTGTGTAGTTTTCCCGCAGTTCTTAAATACTCTGTTTTGTTTTCTTTAATCTTTATTCTCTTTGCTTTTTAGTTTTAGAGGTGTTTACTGAGATATCCTCAAGTGCAGAGATTCTGTCCTCAGCTGCATCCAGTTTACCAATAAGTTGTGTCCTGTCTACTAGTAAGCCTTCATTTCTGTTACAGCAGTTTTTTAAATCTCTAGTTTTCTTTTTGTTTGTTTTTTGTTGTTGTTCTTTCCTAGGAGTTCCATCTCTTTGCTTCTATTGCCCATCTGTTATTGGGTACTGTCTTCTTTATCCATTAGAGCGCTTAGCACATTAACCATAGTTTTCATAATAGTTGTTTTACATTCCTGGTCTGATAATTCCAATATACCTGCCATGTCTGATTCAGGTGTCCTTTCAAATTATGATTTTTGCCTTTTGATATGCCTTGTAATGTTTTCTTGATAGCTGGACATGATGTACTTGGCAAAAGAAACTGCTGTAAATGGGCCTTTAGTAATGTGATGGTGAGGTTTGGGAAGACAGAAAGCATTCTATAGTTCTAGGATTAGGCCTCAGTCTTTTAGTGAGCTTATGACTTTTGATTGTGAACTTCACAAGTGTTTTTCAGTTTTTTCTCCCCCTCACCCCTTAGGTGGGAGAGGATGGCTAGCTTGGGTTGGAGCTGGGCATTTCTTCTCTTAAATGGAAGGCAAGAGCTGACTAGAGTTGAATATTTCCTTTCCTTCAGATCAATTAGTTTTTGATAATGTGATACTATCCCAGCGGGGTAGGCTCTGGTTAACTAGTCTCTCCTGAGATCAAGGCTTGTTGAGAAGAACAGAGTGCTCTGGCATATTTTTATTGTTATTTATGTATTACTTTTTGAGACAGAGTCTCACTCTTTCACCCAGGCTGGAGTGAATTGGTGTGATCTCGGCTCGCTGTGAGCTCTGACCCCTGGTTCAAGGGATTCTACTGCCTCAGCCTCCCGAGTAGCTGGGATTAAAGGCATCTACCAACATGCCTGGCTAATTTTTATATTTTGTATTTTTAGTAGACACAGGGTTTCATCATGTTGGCCAGGCTGGTCTCGAACTCCTGACCTCAGGTGATCCACCCATCTCAACCTCCCAATGTGCTAGAATTACAGGTATGAGCCACCACACCCGGCCACTGGCATATTTTTAAATGGTTCTTTTTCCCCTCCCCCTGCTGGAAACTTGAAGTGATGTTTCTTTGATATCTACTGTGAAAATCCATTCATAATGGACAAGCTGGTGGGGGAGTATACCTGGGTCCCCCTGGAGTTATCCTTTTAGGATTGTCCTCACTGAAATTCCATCAAGGCATCAATTACAGCTCAGGTTTTCCTGTTCTGGTACTGGTTCCCATAGTGGTCATGATAGGACTCCTTGGTTTTATTGTCTACCTCTTCAGTCCTGGGGCCAGTGGTTTGCACTGCATCCTGACCTCTCTTACAGATCTTGGAAGAATTGATTTTTCAGCCTGTTCAGCTTTTTACTTCTTGTTAGGGTGGAGTGGTGACTCCCAAGCTCCTTACATGTGGAATTAGAAACCAGAAGTCAGCTTATGTTTTTAAAAACACACTGTATCTCGACATCTCAATAAAACTTTATTAATCTAATAATACTATGGAAGTTTTGGAAGTAAAAATATATAGTGGAGGTGATAAATTAATGTCTGAAATGGTATATACAGCATTAAGATTGCCTAAAGAGATCAACTAGTTTTCTCCTCTATCATAGGAGCTCCTAAACCAGATATGGAGGGGTTTAGAAGTCGGAACCCACTGGCAAATAATTAACCTCATCAGGAAAGTTCTTGTAAGAAGGACTGATATTGGGTGATGAGTTTAGCAAGGTTGAATCATTGAGAAACATTTTCAGTAGCTAAATGAATATGTTTGCAAATTTTATTATTTTTGTTTTTGATAATGTTTCTGTAGGTTTTAAAAAGGGTATCCCCAAAACAATTTTCTAACATGTTTGACTTGAAACACAGTGAGGAATGCTTTAAGGCAATTCAGAAAACTGTGAGAGTGGGGTTTGGAATTGCCCACCGTCGTTTCAGGGATATGCCTTTAACTATTTTGAGTACCTAGAGAGCATCTTGTCATTCTTTGGCTTGATATCTGGACAGCTCCTAGCATAGTGCTTATACCTACGTGATTTTTTATAAATATTGGATACAGTCTAGTGGCTAAAGACCATTAAAAAAAACCAAACCCCTGACTTCACTTGCAAGCCAGTTTCCTACAGATTCTCATCTGAGTAAAAATATATATTTTATAAAATTTTCAACAATATAGTCATAATTTCAATCTTTTTCAGTTCTAACACTAATGATGCTGTTGTAAGTTTTTTGTTTTTAAATCTTATCACTTATTGACCTTGATAATTTGCTTTATTTTATACTGTATGTTGCTGAAGAAGTAACTATTATTTGATTAAAAAAGCAGAAAGAGGCGGAGGTGGATGGATCACTTGAGGTCAGGAGTTGGAGACCAGCCTAGTCAACATGGTGAAACCCCGTCTCTACTAAAAATAAAAATAAATAAATAAAAAATTAGCTGAGCATGGTGGCATGTGTCTAAAATCCCAGCTACTGGGGAGGCTAAGGCAGGAGAATCACTTGAACAGGTGGGTGGAGGTAGCAGTGAGCTGAGATCGTGTCACTGCCCTCTAGCCTGGGCGAAAGAGTGAGACCTTGTCTAAAAAAAAAAAAAAAAAAAAAAAGAATTCATCCGGGATATAGAATAAAGTAAGATACTAGAATCAAATGATGATGTAAGAATTATTCTCAACAACAATTAAATAAATAAGCAATATAAGCAATAGCTGTTTAAAAAAGGATGCTCACTTCTGTTAATGAAAGAACAAAAAAGAGAAAAGAGGCAAAAATGTATTCATTAAAAATGCCAGCCTGAAATTTGGATTATCTATATTATAATACATCCTTCTATTGAGTTAGAGATGAGATTATGTAAGAAAATTCAAACAAGCTGTTAAAACATTTCATTTCATAAGCCATATACCTGTGTTGTTTTACTTTTTTTTTTTTGAGATGGAGTCTCACTCTGTCACCCAGGCTGGAGTGCAGTGGTGTGATTTAGGCTCACTGCAACCACCGTCTCTGGGTTCAAGCCTTTCTCCCCTCTCAGTCTCCCGAGTAGCTGGGATTACAGGCACCCACCACCATGCCTGGCTAATTTTTGTATTTTAGTAGAGGTGGGGTTTCACCATGTTGGCCAGGCTGGTCTTGAACTCCTGACCTCAGGTGATCCACCCACCTCGGCTTCCCAAAGTGCTAGGATTACCGGCGTGAGCCACCGCACTGACCTATTTTACTTTAACAAATGTATACAGTAGATGAATATAAATCTGTGAAGTAAGCAAAATTGGAACAGAAGACTCAGTATTGTAAAATGAGCATATTTTCTAAACCAAGTACTGTAAAGTGAGTATATTTTCTCACCCAACCTCAGCTCCTTTGAACCTGTGTTCTGTCTTCATTTACTTTGCTGAAGTTAAACTGACTCTCAGAAGAAAATCCAGTGCCTGACCCAGTGCATGCCAATGCCAGTGATTTTTTTTTTAAAGCACTGCTCAGCACACTGCCCAGCACACTGCCCAATTCAAGTTGCATTCAGGAGCTTTTATTTTATGAAAAATAAATTCTGGGTTATATGGGTAGATTAGAATAGAAGGTGGAGGTACCTCGGTGTTGGTAGAACTTTTAATTCAAGAAAATGGAAGTGTTGAGGAAGCTGTGGATAGGCAGGAAATCAGAGTTTCATAAATTTAAATTGCTTTAATATTAATTCAGAATTTTTGAAACAAATACCATATCCTGGATGATAATATACTGGTGTTACCCTTGAAACGTTTTTATAACAAAACATTAACGTGTAGAGGATGCTCCTTACTGGTAAATGTATTATATTGTGATAGAGGCTGAGAGAGCTGATAGTAGAGTAGGACTACAGACTTCACAAAGAAAGGATCTGGAATTGGGATTGTTCAACAACTGATAGAACATGAAAATCTGAAGTTGTTCAGAATTGTCAGAGTCCTTATATAGTGGTGGTTATTTATTCCTCAGATGATTAGGAAATCCAGCAACTCCCAATATCCTATTTTTCACATACTTGAAAATACTTTCTGTGAGGTTGGAGTTTTACTTATCTAGACTGCCTGTGTCACATTTCCCCTAGTTTGACAAGAGATGGATAGAGCATCTCTAGCAGCAGGAAAGTGGCTGCATAGTCATTTTCATCCATATTAATGCATACTTGCTTCTGTAAGCCATGTTTACACACTTGATCACTTTGTTATTTTGCTGAAAATGAGAGCTTCTTGTCAATGAAAATAAGAGAGGGAAATGAAAAAATGTAATCCAGTGAATTGTTTTGATGATCATAAATGCTTATGTCTTAAACTTGTTATATTAGTTTAAAAAAAAAAAGCATTGTTGCTTAGCATAGAAGAGGTGATGAGCTTACCTGTTTTCTTATGTAAGAAAGAAAGGAAGGAAGATCAGAGGCAGGAGGGGGTGAGAGAATAAAATAAATACATGAAGCACCTTTAAATATGATGCATTTTTTTAAGGCTTAGGCATCTTACTGCAATAAAGAACTTGAAACTAAAATGAGACCATTCTGTATAATCTGAGTCTATTTAAACCTGCTTTAGCAATTCTACTAATAGCATTTCTGAATTTTTCTTTGCTGGTTTTTTCTAATTTAGTCCTACCAGACTCTCAGGCAAATAAATAAATAAATAAATAAATAAATAAATAAATAAATAAATAAAAACAGGTGGTTTTTGAAGAAATTCTTTTTTCTTGACTTGCTGGTGTATTTTTTGAGCCCTCAACTGAGCACATGCCCCCGTAGAATGAATTAAGTCCAGTCTGTTCTAACCTAGGAAATTGTGTTTAACTTACTGCTTATGATTATAAAATTTTTTTACCTTTGAATCAGAATTCATCCTTTAATTTTATTGTCTGAAATTCTTTTCCTCTTTCCAATTTTTCATATATTACTTTTAGTGACAGTGTCAAGAGCACTGTGATTTTTTTCTCTCCCACAGGATATTGGAAATACCAAACAGTATTTATGTTATTTTAGACATGTATTATTCTTCGCTCATCATAGTAGCGTACATTTACATGTTTATGGTTTATGTGACTTTAATAGCTCTCATAATTATTTTAACAGACAGTTCTAGTTAGCATGAACATTTTTTATAAAAGCTATACTCTGTTCTATGAAAAGTGAGATACAGTAACTACAGAAGCCTTTGTCTAAGTTTAAATGTCGTCAAAATTATTTTATTGCCAGTAATATTTTATAAAAAACAGATAAAAATTTAAATATACTTAAAAGTCTTTGGCTATTAGAATATAATAATTATTCTTTTGATTACCTCATGAGAAATTCAGAAGGGTATTAGGTTGTGATTCAGACAAGTGTGTCACTTTCTCTACCTGCCTCAAAAATAATTATTATTTTCCCAGGACAAATTGCTGTTATAGTTGGTATTACCCTGTGCTTACTTTTGCTTACATGATATCACATTTTAACTTATGATCTATCCTTGTCCTTGGAAAATATCATTCACTTAAAAGCATACTTACTACATGCTTAACCTGTCCTTAAGCATAGTCAACACTTAGGGTGTCTTTTATCTCTGTCTCTCTAGCAGATCATAAACTTGGTATATAACAGATGTTTAGTAATTGCAATGACTGAAGGTGAGAAAGGCTTTTTATGCAATTTGAATTTTTTTTTTTTTTTTTTTTTTTTGAGACAGAGTCTCACTCTGTCGCTGAGACTGCAGTGCCATGGCGTAATTTCGGCTCACTGCAACCTCCCCCTCCCGGGTTTAAGCAATGCTCATGCCTCAGCCTCCCAAGTAGCTGGCATTACAGGTGCCTGCTACCATGCCCGGCTAATTTTTGTATTTTTATTAGAGACGGAGTTTCACCATGTTGGCCAGGCTGATTTCAAACTCCTGACCTCAAGTGATCCACCCTCCTTGGCCTCCCAAAGTCTGGGATTACAGGCATGAGCCACCGTGCCTGGCCTGAAATTTGATTTTAAAGTATTTTTACCTGTTTTGTGTAAATATGATATTGCATTTTTAAACAGTTCCATCAGGGAGCTCTTACTTTTGCTCTGAGTAAAATCCAAGAAGGCAGAAACCTACAACTAACTGTCCCAGCATTAGACTTTTCTTTGATGATTGCTTGCTAACTTCCATTTTACTATTACTCTTACTAGCCTGCTTATTGATTAATTTTTGATTTTTACATTATCTGACAGAACATTATCTGCCAATAAAATATATATATTTAAGTATTTCCAACTTGAAGCTAGAAAGAAATTTATAAATATAAAACTGACTGAAAACACAATTGTCCTATTCTTGAATAAATATGTTTCAAACTGTACCCATAATGTCAGCAGGGTTAATTTTCATTGTGGCTCCAATTTTTTTCAAGGTACAGTTTTATTTCATCTCTATTTCTGTGAATGTATCTTCTTAATGGATTTATTAGGATGTGGTAGAGTCTTGAAGGATCATTGGCTCCACTTTCTTAGATCCAGGTACTGTTAACTGAGGGGTAGGTCAGTCAGGCAAGAATAAAGCTTACATAGGCCCCACTCTGTACAGATAATGCTTACATGTTTCACTCAATGTGGCTCAAAGAGAGCAAATTTAAGTTCTCAGTGGTAATTAAAGTACCTATGCTTAGCAATTTTCAAGAATCTCCTTTTACCTCAGTACTCTACAAAGATATTAGAAGGATAATTTGAGAAACTCATGGAATAAATCTGTTGTAGATTAGCTATAATTAGTATTTATGTATATATGTTTAGATCTGCGTCATAGCTTTGCATCATATGCAGTCTTCACTACAGTGGAGTTCTAGTATTAACTATCAAAACTACAAATTATGTTTTATTAAGGTATAGTTTAAATCACTAGTTTTTGAACTTTAAACAATATTACATACTTAACTCCAAAATTTATGACCTCAATAATGTTTTTTTGAAGTTCCAAAATATAATTGATTTTGCTCCACATTAAATTAAGGCAGTGGGACAGAGCATTCCTTTATTCCCTCCTTTGAACAATCATTGAATTAAATTTTGAACTAGGATTACTTAAGGATATCTCTGTCCTGGTTTATATCTTACTATCTATTCTACCTAAAATTTCATTTTTAAATTCCCATGCCTGTCTAGTTTTATGTTTTTTAGTCTACAGATTAATACATTCATTCAAGAAATATTTATTGTGTGACTACTATGTGCCAGGGAGTATTCTAGGTTCATAGGATTAATAAATAAATTAAACAGACAAACATCCATGTCCTTGTGGAGTTTAAACTGCTTTAATCAAAGTGGGATGGTAATTATAATGGGCACTGTGTATCTCTGGTGGCAGTTTTACAGCATTTAGCCTTTGCAGAAGTAGCTTTTAAACATTTTAGCTATTTATTTTTTCTGTTTGCAACATCTGTACAAATGATAGTAATATGATGTTTCTTTCATGCTAATACAAAAAAGAAAATGTCTGCTACATAGTGCCTTCTGAGCTCTTTGTAAATTTTAGTAGGAATAATGTAGGCACTGCTGCCTCCTGAGAAATCTTACCATATTCCTCAGAAGCCTATGATTACTTTTTTAAAATTCCGTTAGCATACATCACCATTACCAAACAGTTAAATTTGTTATTAATTTGTGAATTAAACTTGTGAGTTTGTTGCCTTGACAGAATTTGGTTGTTGATTTTCTCTTCACTGAAATGTTGGTTATAATATCAGCCTTCATAGCCAATCAACAATTATCTACTTTCTCTTGTTTGGCTATAGTTAACTACCCTGTTTTGAGAAAATTAAATAATCCTTAGTTCTCACCATTATTCAGGAAACCATGTGCTATACAATATTAAAACAGTATTTAAAATGTTAGTATAATTTTTCTGTTGAACATCAGTTACACATCAAGAACTATATAACACATGTATTTTATTTCTTTACTCCTAATTTATAATATATTCTTCCAAATCATGAAATTCACCAGGCTAAGGATTTTGTATTATGATATTCAGCAGTAGAATTCAAAAGACACTTGTTTTATCCTTAAGCTTTATATGATGTAATGTTTTCCTTTTCATTTAGAAAACAATTAAATGACAGTATTTCTTTTAGGATTCATCTTCATTTTTATTAATTAGAAGACAATAGAGTAGAAAATATTAACAAAGAGTTCCAAGTAGCTGATTAGAAGACTAAATCTCTTTTCTATAAATAAATTACTAGAAAAAAATTAAAATTAAACAAAAATAAATCACCTAGGCTGGGCATAGTTGGCTCATGCCTGCAATCCCAGCACTTTGGGAGGCTAATATGAGAGGATTGCTTGAGCCCAGGAGGTCGAAACCAGCTTGGGCAACATAGGGAGACTCTGACTCTACAAAAAGTGAAAAAATTACTCAGGTGTGTGGCTCACACCCGGAGTCCCAGCTACTTGTGGGGGCTGAGGTGGGAGAATAGCTTGAGCCTGGGAATTGGAGACTGTAATGAGCTACAATCGCACCACTGCACTCTAACCTTGGTGACTGAGCAAGACCCTATCTAAAAAGAAGAGCAAAACAAAACAAAACACATAAAAAAACTAATAAATCTTCTACTAATTATTCACTTTATCTAATATAATTCCTTACAGAAGATAGGTCAAATGGTCTGGGAATGTCTGAGTGATGTTCTTTTGCCTGCCACAGCATACCTCAACAAATTTGTAATCCAATTTAAAAGGCTAGAAGAAATTAGAAAAGGGAATGTTTCTATACATGAATGGCACACGGATCCTTTCACTCAGGCAGAGTTATCTGACTGCCTAAGCTTCAACTGGGTGCTGCTCCTGTATATACCCTGTCTCTCAGCACATTGTTAAAAAAAAAAAAGCCCATCCCTTACATATTCCTAACCATATTGCATATTCCATAAGAGCAGAGTTGTGATTTTAACCCAGAACCAGGACAGTGTGTGACATATAGTTGCAACAAATAATGTGTGTGAATGTGTGTATATAAGAGAACTCTAGTTAGCCTCTCTAGTTCAGTTTCTGTCTCCTTCAAATTATCTTATTTTCTTTTTATGGCTTTAGGTTTCTAAAATAAGAGTTTTCTATATATCATTAAGTGAACATTTGGTTCTGATTATTATGATCACTGTGCACCATAATCTATGCTATGGAAAAAAAGGAATGCTTATACGTTGTTGGTGGAAGTGTAAATTAGTTCAACCATTATAGAAAACTGTGGCTATTCTGTAAAGACCTAAAAACAGAACTACCATTCAACACAGCAATCCTGTTACTGGGTGTATACCCAAAGGAATATAAATTGTTCTGTCGTAAAGACACATGCTCACATATGTTCCTTGTAGCACTATTCACAATAGCAAAACATGGAGTCAACCTAAACGCTCATCAACAGTAGACCATGGAATACTATGCAGTCATAAAAAGAAATGAGGTGATATACTTTGCAGGAACAGGGATGGAACTGGAGGCCATTATCCTTAGCAAACTAATGCAGGAACAGAAAAGCAAATACTGCATACTTACACTTACGAATGGGAGCTAAATGATGAGAACACATAGACGCATAAAGGGGAACAACAGATACTGCGGCCTACCAAAGGGTTGAGGGTGGGAGGAGGGGGAGGATTAGAAAAAATAACTAAAGTGTACTAGGCTCAATACCTGCATGACAAAATAGTCTGTATAAGAAGTCCCTGTGGCATGAAATTACCTGCACTGTACCCCTGAACTTAAAGTTTAAAAAATAAATAATAAAATTAGTTTTTTGGGTTTTTTTGGTATGTGACTTTCTTCAAGAAATACAGGCACAGAGTTAAAAAATCAAATGGAATATAGGGATTATTAAAATGAAAAATAGCAGCCCTGTGGCTTGTATTTTCTCACTACCTACTTCAGCTACACAGTGGCAATGTGCTTCTGGTATTTACTTCTATTACCTAAATAATATGCTTATTGCTATTTCTTCATTTATCAGTTTCAACAGGAGTTTTGAGTAAAGAAAATGGAGAAGTTTGTGGGAGAGAAAGGTATGTAAATAAGAACATGACATGAGATTTAAGCTAATATATTTTACAGTAGAGGTGCCCATAGGGTGCTTTGAGAGCATAAAGAACATAGACATGTTAGGTCTTCCAAATTGTTTTGAAGAATAACTTTATAATTTATGCTTTTGTTAGCAGTAAACAAGAGTTCTCATCTTTCTATATTCTTATCAACACTGCGCAGAATTCATTCAAATTCATGCTCTTCTGATGACATAAAGTGGTATCTCATTGGTTTTTTAATTTGCATCTTCCTGATTGCTAGTGATTTTATGAGTTTTAAACAGTATGGGCTTCTGCTTCTGAACATTTCCTTTTCAAGGTTCTTTGCTCATTTTTCTATTGGTTTCCTCTGAATATATAAGTATATGTTAACCAGTATTAATTCCTCATTGGTTTTAGGTGTTCTCTCAGTTTACCTATGAAATTATCTATGGTATCCTTAACTGAAAATTTTCATTTTTTTAGCAAAATCAATTAATTTTATGTCTTATCATTTATGCTTTTTAGGCCATGTTTCAGAAAGTTGTTACATGTGTGTCTCAAAAATATTTGCCTAATTTTTTTTCTTAATAACTTCTTTAATCTCTCAGAAATTCAAATTTCTATATGGTGTGATAAGGTGCCCACTTTACTTTCTGCCCGATTCTTAGATCAGTTTTTGCTCTATACAGTAAGCCAACACCAGTATTTTCTTTTACTTTGTGATGTTATTATATATAACACTCTCATGTATGTATGAGCTGTTATATATATGTATATATGAACTCTATGTGCCTGCAGCTGTACTGGGCTTTTTAGTACATGTTAATATTTTATAGAGTAGGTTTTCTCTCTTTGCCCTTCATTTTTGAACTTTACTTTGATATTAATAGACCTTTTATAGCATATGCTTTTAAATGGGTTTAAAAATGAGTTTGTGGATTTTCTTTTAAAAATCTAGAATTTATAGACTGATTTAGAAAAAGTTGGAGAAGTTTCCCTATGAATATTGGCAAGGGAAAATAAGTCAATATAAAATTATGAAATAATTTAGACTTATACTAAAGAAATCCACTTCTTTTGGTGGCATATATTAGGCAGAGTATAATTGTGGAAGAAAAATTAACATAAGGAAAGCCAAGAGTGGGGCCTGCTAATGTAGAAAATTTTATTGTTAAGAGAAATGTGGACAACAGAACCAATAGAGAAAGAATAAAAGGAATATGAAGAACAGGAATTCCAATTACCTTAATGTTTATGACTTTGAGTTACCTTAATACTTACAATTCACTAAACAGTGGTTTCGGATTATGCTCTGTAGAATACCTAATGCTTTGTGAACACCAAAAGTACCCAAGGAAAGGAGTAATGGTGGCACTGAGTATTTGGAGGTGGGATTCAACCAGAATACGTGATTGTTAATTGGCCCTGGACTAAGGTTTTATTGCAAGAAAGGGTTCTTTAGCTTAAAAGTGTTTAGAAATGATTTCAATACAATTAGTGAAATGTCTAAATGTTCAACAAAGATGGCAAGTGATGCCAGTCATCCTTTTCAATGCCTATGGCAGACATTGCTAATTGAACACAGAACTTCCTGTGGCAGATTCAGATTTACTCTCCATACAGCTCTCCATTTAGTCACTACCGATCAATCAGAGTGTTATGTGAGTCAAAACCCATTTACTATCTATAACAGGGGTATCCAATCTTTTGGCTTCCCTGGGCCACATTGGAAGAAGAAGAATTGTCTTGGGCCACACATAAAATACACTAACACTAACGATAGCTGATGAACTAAAAAAGAAAAAAAAAACTGCAAAAAGTCTCATAATGTTTTAAGAAACTTTACAAATTTGTGTTGGGCTGCATTCAAAGCCGTCCTGGCCACGAGTTGGACAAGACTGAGCTATATAGTACTAAGTTCTATAATTTTAGTGGACCTTCAATACATTTAACATATTTTAGTCTAAGAAAGGTGTGAGCTAAATCTCTCAGATTAAAGAAGGAAGAAACTAGAAAACGAGAGTAGTTGAATCGGAAATGGATCTGGGAAATACAAACTTAAATAAGCATTTAAATAATGATCCTTACATTGTGATTATGAGGAGTAAATGCTTACTACCAATTTGTTAATTGTGGAAAATCCTACAAAGCTCATTAAGTATGTGTTGAAGAGGCAATTGAAATCAGTTATGTTTTCAGTTAAGAAATTGGAGACGCAAATAATTTTTTCTGTAAATTATAAAAGTTAATCACTGAAAAGTTTAAACTTGCCAAATCAATGAGAGTGGGAAACAAAATCTCCATCTCTTGGAAGTGCATCTTATGCTGTCTCCGTGGCCTTTGCTTTATACCAAACAATGTCTTGAAAGTTCTCTAAATTAAAATGTAGAAAAAGCATTTTTATGTGTATTTGAATATTCACAAAGTAATGCATGTTAACATTAACAATTTTTATTTTAAAGGATGAATATGTTTTATGTTCTGTGAAGTCACTGCACTAATTGTGATGTAAATTTAAATTTAATTTTCTAAGCAGTGACAATTATTTGTCTCTATTAACAGGTCTACTCTAATGTGATGCTGGGATTGAATTTTCCTAGGACTCCGTTTCAAGGTTAATTCGAAAGTCTTGTGGAAGATCTGGAAGAAACAGGTAAGTGTCCTTTTGGTAAAAATTCTCCTTTGGTCATTGTGCTTATTTTTATTTTTCTAATGCTGATTTTACTCTTTAGTTTTTTTGGTTAAATATGTTTGCCCAAATGTTAAGAAGTTGTTTTCAGCGGACAATTGAGACATGTTAAGTGTGGCAGTAGAAATATTAATCACTGCTATTGGGATTCCCATTTCACTGCTTGCTGCTCTCTTTCTATTAAACTTGGTATCACTTTTTAAAACCAGTATACACTTATGGGGAATATGAATTTGGTTTGAAATATTAAAAGTAAATTATTAGGCAAGGAAAGCACTTGGAGAATCTTGTTACCATTGTACTTGCCTTTTATTATGCTGGTCTTTTCAGTATTATTTTTTAAAAGTTCATTTGGTATTGAAGTTTTGGGGGGATCTGAAATATTGAGGAAATAATGAGAATAATATACCAGTAATGAATTTTTTTCTAGAAAATTTGATTTTTCTAATACAATTTTTGAGATCCAGTCAGCTATTTTGAAAGATTTGTTTTCTTTTTTAATGTTGAGTATCTTTAAATCTCATGATAGTTTTCTTTGATATGTACAATGTTAACATATAAACTTTCTCAATATATAATATTTATGTAAAATTGGATTTTCAGTTTCACTGTTGAACTGTAATATCAATCAAACGGTTTGTCATGAGTATCCAAATTTAGAATAATATAATTTTAAAGGAAACCTAAAAGCAATTTTAGGCAGAGTTTGTATTTCAAAGCTTCCTAGTAGTTTATATCATTTCTTTCCCCAATCTTTACCTCAAGAGAGAGGGAAACCAAAATGCCCGGGCTTCTTCAGAATTCTTCATTAAGAGTTTCACCATGAGCATAGTATAGGCCTCAGGATCTTCACTTTCTACCTAAATTTCTCTAGCAATTTCTACAACTCTCTCAAGATACACTTCGTAATTTCTCTGAGAGATTTTTGTCAATGTTCTTTAATTATACAGTTAAATATTTCCCAGGTATTTTACCTTCTGTTTGGCCTATGGATTGTTTTTTGGTTCATTTCTTACCAGTTTTAGTATTTTACCAGATAGACATTAAAATGATCCCACATTTATCTAACATTTAAGATTTTCAAAGCCCTTTGGCAACCTTTTACTTCATTTTACTCTTAATTTATGATGTAAGTAAGGTTGACATTATTATTCTTTGATAAGTGGAGAAACAAAGACAAGTAATTAAAATGATCTGGAAAAAGTTATGTAGCTTGTTGTGATTTTATAGCTAGTAATAAACAATTAGAGATAGAACACATGTCTGCTAACACTCAGTCTTTTTTGTGGTGAGTGGGGACATTATTTGTATGTTTGCCATAGATAATGGTTATACCAATATACTCTATCTTTATATAGCCTTTTGATATATAAGTTATTACTTTTGAGTAACAGGATGTTTATTTGTATCATAGCAGATGGAGTTTAGATTTATAATAAGCAGGAATGATCTAACAATGAACCAGGAAAGAATGAATCATGGAATCATGAAAGAAACTATTTTTTAAAAGTAGAGAATTCCTAGAAGAGAATATAATTGCACTTGAAGTTAGTCCTCAAACTGATTTTGGAATGTGCTACTTAGACTTTTGGTAGTTATGTGCTTATAGTGGCAGTTTTTAAATATTTTTAAACAAACACTAACCACATATTGGTGTAAATAATGAATATGCATAATGCCAAAGGTTCATCCTAATGGGAAAGTGAATTCTGAAAAAGCATTATTTTTTCTTGTAAATGTATAGAATTTTGAACCCTTGAGCTGGAAGTATGATTATAAGGGAGGAAGAAAATGTTGGAGAAGCAAAGATTTTGGGGTCAGGTTGATAGGAGTTTGCATCCTTGTTGCTATTTTTTGGCTTTTTAAATTAACCTCTGTTAATTTTTGCTTCTCAGCTCTCAAAGAGTAAAATAGGGGACTGATAGATCTGTTTATTGTATTCTTGTGAAAATTTAGCACTTGGTACATAGCTATTTTCAAAAAATACTGGATTTTTTCTTCTCTGCTCCCTTCCCCCTAGAAAATCCACTAAATGGAACTTGGTTCAAACCTCCTATTTTCAAACAATTTTTTTTTTAGTTTTATCTCCATTTCACCTCTCAAAGAAGTTAAATAACCTGCCCTACATAATACTTATAACATGGGAACTAAAATGTTTCATACAACTTATAACTGAGATTATTTGTATATGTGGGTAAATGCATAGTTAGGCATGTGGGTGGATGTGTTTTACTTCAAGATATTCAGTTATTTTCAGAGTTTCCACTGCAAGACTATTAAGCTCAAATGAAATATCAGTTTTAGTTAATTCAGTAGAAATAATTTTCATTCATATATTTATAGAAAATTGCTATAAATTTCATAAATACTTATTAAAGATTAGGTATCATATGAAAAATATTTGCTCTATTTTTGAAATTATTAAAAAGTAAATGGACTATGTAGGAAGCTGGTTTGGCAGACAGGGTGTTGGGTCAGCAGTTCAGACAGATAGTGTACTGACATTCATTGTCAAAAGGAAACAGAGTGAGCAAGACTGCAAATAGAGGGTTTAGAGTGGAGCTATTGAGAATGCAAGGTTGGAAATCAGATTGCCTGGGTTTGAATGATAGTTCCAATACAAACCTACCTTATATGAAACCTTGAACAAATCACCAAGGCTCTTTTACGCTTAATTTGTCAATCTAGAGAATAGAGATAACAGTTCGTATTTAATACAGTTGAATTGAGGATTAATTGTGTGAACACATAAAAAGGGCATAATGAACATTTAAAAAGTCAGTATTATTTTATTTTCCATTATATTCATTTCAATCGTTGACTGTATTATTCAGGCCACATGGAAAATACCCTGTATAGGATAATCTAATTTATGTCTAATCATGGGTCTTACAAGAAATGCTAAATATGAGTTAATTCTGTATCTTAGTTATTTTATGCTGTTATAACAAAGTACCATAGACTGAATGGATTATAAACAGAAATTTAATTTCTCACAGTAATGGGTGCTGGAAGATTAAGTTCAGGGTGTCAACCTCTGGTGAGGGCCTTCTTTCAGGTTATAGACTGCCATCTTCTTTCTCGTGTCCTCACATGGCAGAAAGGGGATGAGAGAACTCTCTGGGGTTCCTTTTATAAAAAGGGCACTAATCACATTCATGAGGGCTCCATCTTCATGGCCTAACTACCTACCAAAGGTTCTACCTCCTAGTACCATCACATTGCGGGGTAGGATTTTAACATAGGAATTTGGGGACAACACAAATATTCAGTGTATTGCATTATGTACCTGTGCTCTCTGTGTTTGGTTAGAATGTGTATTAGTTTTCTATTACCATATGATGAATTTTCATATATGTAGAAGCTTAAAACAACATACATGTATCATCTCACAATTTCTGTGGGTAAGGAGTCCAGGCACAGTTTAGCTTAGGGTCTTAAAAGGCTGCAATCAAAATGTCAGCCAGGTTGCATTTTCATTTAGAGCTCAGGGTCCTCTTCCAAACTCACGGGTTTTTGGCTGAATTCAGTCCACTGCAGTTTTAGGACTGAGATCCTTAGCCTCTAAATTCCACCTACAGTTCCTCCCATGTGGCACTCTCCATACACAGTTTACAAATAGCAGTCTTGCTACTTTAAAGCCAGCAGGAGAGCTAGCAAAATGGAATCTATATATAATACATATATAATGTTTTATATATATATAACATTTTATATATAATATATAGATAATATATAGAATATATATTATAGATAATATATAGAATATATATTATAGATAATATATAGAATATATATTATAGATAATATATAGAATATATATTATAGATAATATATAGAATATATATTATAGATAATATATAGATATAACATTAAAACACATACACATATATGTGTGTATATATGGATGTGTGTGCATATATGTATGTGTATAATGTATGTATGTATTTTAAAATAATCATCAGAGTGACAATACACAACCTTTGCCATGTTCTGTTGGCTGGAATCAAGTCACAGGTCCTGCCCACACTCAAGGGGAAGGAATTTTACAGGGCATGAACTTGGGGGCCACTCTAGAGACTGTCTGCCAAAGCATGTTAAACTTAAAATTCATGAAATATGTTACTTTAACGTTTTATAATTATGTTATAGTTAATAATAAGAATATTGTTGAAACATGTAAAATTTTATTTTCATAGAGTTTTCTTACAGTACAGTTCCCAGCAGACTATTCCTCTTTGCCTAAAATTCATCCATTGCTTCAAGCTGGCTAAAACCACCAGACTAATTACAGCCTAGTGTGGTATTTAGTACACTCCAGAATGTGGCAAAACCCAAATATCTTACCTTTTCTCTTTACTCTGATATGTATACCTTTAACTACATGTTTTACGCTTTCTTGCCTACATCTTTGTCAATGTACATCTTTCTCATTGTTTCTGTCCCATTCTTTATCTTTTTAAAGCACATTTAAATTTCTACCTTTTCCACTATATTTTTCTTATTTCTTACCTCCTTTTTAGCTAGCCTAGGACTTTTTCTGCATAGTATCTTACCCTATCATAGTCAATCGGATGTTGCAAACATGTGATCATTAATCTCATTCCCCTGCTATCCATAGAGATCACAGAATGTTGCTCATTTGTGTGTTTCTTACAATGTTGCATATAATAGTATCTTTAGAAATATTCACTGAATATGTAAAACACCTTCTTGATTTAGAACAGTGGTCTAACAGCCAGTATTCATTTTGACAGTCATATTTCAGAAGATGTTCTTTATAAGTTATTCATTCGTATATTGGCTCAGTAATTTGAAATATATACCTCGAATAACCCTTAAGTTACTTGTGAGAATCCATTACAACTTACACCTTTGAAACCAATTACATATGGGAAAAACACGAATCACTGGAGTCCAGAGGGATAGCTGTGGTAGGCAGCCTCTAAGATGGTCCCCATTTTCTGGTTTTCACTCCATTATATTTTTTCCCCCATATTTACCAGGGTTGGCCTATGTCATCAATAGAATACGGCACAAGTTCTGTTTGCTGGTATGTTGCTTTTCTGATTAGGTTATGCATGATATTAAGACATATGTTTTGAGTTTCCTTTCTTTCTCCCTCTCTCTTGCCTCTATCTCTCTCTGTTTCTGTCTCTTATCTTTGTCTCTGTTTCTGTCTCTCCCATTCTTTCAAATGACTTGCTCTGGGGGAGGCTGGCTGCCATGGAGAGGTATTCATAGTGAGGAACTAAGCCCTTTAGCAAACAGCCAGGAAGGAGCCCACAAACAATGTGCAACTTCCTGAAAGACTCTGAGTCTAAGCCACCCAGCTAAACCACCCCTTGATTCCTGAGCCTCAGTAACTATTTGAGATATGATATAATTTGGCTGTGTCAGCACCCAGATCTCATCTTGAATTGCAGTTTTCATAATCCCCACTTGTTGTGGGAGGGACCAGGTGGAGATAAGTGAATCATGGGGCAGTTCCCCCATCCTGTTCTTGTGATAGTGAGTTCTCAGGAGATCTGGTGGCTGTATGGGGGGCTTCCCCCTTCACTAGGCACTCATTCTCTCTCCTACCACCCTGTCTTCAGAAGAAGTGCCTTCTGCCACTATTGTAAGTTTCCTGAGGCCTCCCCAGCCATGTGGAACTGTGAGTCAATTAAACCTGTTTACTTTATAAATTACCCAGTTTGAGGTATTTCTTCATAGGAGCGTGAGAACAGACTCATACAAGATAATAAATGGTTTTGTTCTAAACTGCTAAGTTTGGGTGGTAATTTTTATGCACTCATAGATAATTAATACATTATATAATATTTCAGCCCTAAAATTATATGCACAAATTTCAGCACTGCCCTTGACTTTGAGGGGAATATAAAGATTAACAGTCTATGAAATATGATGTCTCTCAGGCATATGTAATAGAAGAGATAGGTATGTATATTTACAAGATAGCCAAATGGAAAGAAAATGTGAAATGTTTAGATTCACCTGGAATACTGATTTTGCAACATGCAGAAGCTGCTTTTAATATCTTGCCCATTGATCATATCAATGTTGGAGAGTTGTGCTTACTCATGACTGCGTACGTCTGCATGCTGGTCTGATACTCATTCTTTGTAGAAGAGCTGCTTGGAATAAATACCCATATGCTAACAGGATCTGGGCTTGCAGTATCTCTTCTACTAATCTATCCTGATAGTTTTCTGCTATCTTTTAATGCCCTTTATGGAGGTGTAAATACTAGAGTCACACGGAAGTATCTAGATATGTGTACACATATTTGGAGTGCTGTACTTTGAAGCATTGAGCTCACTAGAAAAATAATACGTTTGGTTTCCAGAAAAGTGAATTGAAAAGTATGTATCAGCAAGTAATAGAACAACATTTAAAAAAAATAAATTCTCAGCTGGGTGTGGTGGCTTACACCTGTAATCCCATCACTTTCAGAGGCTGAGGCAGGGGGATCACCTGAGATCAGGAGTTAGAGACCAGCCTGACCAACATGGTGAAACTCCGTCTTTACTGAAAATACAAAAATCAGCTGGGCATGATGGTGGACGCCTGTAATCCCAGCTACTCAGGAGGCTGAGGCAGGAGAATCACTTGAACCCGGGAGGCGGAGGTTGCAGTGAGCTGGGATTGTGCCACCGCATTCCAGCCTGGGCAACAGAAGGAGACACTGCCTCAAAATAAATAAATAAATAAATAAATACATACATACATACATACATACATACATACATGCATGCATGCATATATACATACATACATACATACATACATAAATTCTCATTAAACCATAATTCCAAATTTCATTCCTATTGATGTGATGATAGAATTTGGACAAACATAATGCACTATATTAAAAAAAGAAAACGATAACTTGTTCATATTTTTAAATGAGAGTTTATGTTTATAGTTTTAAACTTGTGGCTTGGAACTATCCGCTAGTAAAATTTTTGATATCATTATACAAAATAGAAAATATGGATTTTAACTGGCCTGCTTTTCAATTCAACTGAACATTAAGTACCCTTTTAATGGTCTTATTTGCTGGGAAGTGCACCATTACAATAATCTGCTTTTTACAGCCCATATCAAGTATGAACCAGCATCACTTATTACAAAGTTTGTGCTTTGGGAGACATTTTCATGGCATCTAACAGTACTACCCCACATTTCTTGGAATTAGTCTTTAATGATATCATTTTCCAAAATGAGTTGTTGCTCAAACTTACTGATTGTTTTGTGGTTAAAATCTAATCCAGCAGCTATATTTAAAATGTCATACAAATTTGTAAGGAAAGGTTCACTGAAACTACTGTTACATTAGTAATTGTATGAAAATGCTGTAGAAGAGATACCATGCAGCTTGAATGTTTTCGTTTTTTTCCCCTATATGATATCCAAGGGATGACTATGAAACCTCATTTTAAACTGTTGGCAATTTGAGTTTTTACTATTGTCTGCCAGAGAACAGAGGACTATTACTGTAGGTGTCATGTAAAATGAAGTTATAGTCTGAAGCCTCCTTTTAGCTGTCAGCCTTATTAAGGAGCTCTTCATGTGTTGAACCTGGCACCTGGTATTGTATAAGCAATGCATGTGAGAGCCTGGGGAGAGCTTTCTTTCTCTTTTCTGTGGCCTTTATTAGGCTTGGCTCACATTTTCACTGTTGCTTTGCCTTATTCCAACTTTTTAGCTGCAGCTCACAGCACAGTAGGTCTAATTTAGATTGACTCCTTTGCCTGAAGACTGATTGAAACTTGTGTCTCGGAGTTGCTAATGCTCACTGAACCATTTTATTGAAGATAAAGTAAATAAAATAGATTGCCATAGGAGAATTCTCTGAAATCAAATGGAATAATTTGCCAGGTTTAAGCCCATAAAGAAAGCAAAGCAGTGAAACAGAATACTTTTTATCTTCAGTATATTAAGGGGTAAATATTCTTGATATGTTAGACCTAAAATATTTAGGTTTTTCAGTACAATTAAATGTTAAATATAATTCTCAACTGCCATGTTATTTTTGGTGTTAAACAATGGGTTCTCTCCAAGAGAGTAATATGAATAAAAACTTTTGGGACTACAATATTGTGATGATTTTTTTTTCTTTCTCTTTTTGTGACACTTAAGTGTATGAATCAGTAGTCTCAGATAATTTAATAAACAACACAAATGAATGGATTTGCCAGAGTACACTTTAGAATCCTAAGTTTGGAAAATAGCAGTAAACCTTAGCTTACCCAAAGATAGTATTAATTTTGAGCATTTTATTCACTAATCAAGATTATGTGTTCACATAAGAACAACCTTTTCTGAAAAGTATCCTGTGGAGTTTTTTTTTTCTTTTTGAATAAGACTGTTAGGTTTAGTCAAAGAATAATTACAATATATGTGTTTTACATATCATGTGAAATAATTAGGGGAAGGAAGAAAAATGTTAGAGTGACCTTAGCATCTTGAATCCTGTGAACTTACAATAGCATATAATGCCGCAATAACATATATTGACACATATGATTTGTGAAATACAAAGATCTGAGCCCTTGCATGAAGATATTTTGAACATCTGATGCAGAGAAATGAAGATCTCTTATATGATTGCTAGGTCAGATGAAAAGTAAACATTTATAGAGGACAGATCAATAAAAGAATTTTATAAGAAAATTTCTGAACTTGCTGATTAAAGGCAGTATCTCTCTTCAACCTTATAAAGATTCTGTCACATTAATCTTTCTCTTATAATTTATCTTGTAGTTTCTCCAAATTTAAGATAATTTCTATCTGTGCCCCTCTTAAATGTGTATAGTTAATTTTTTAAAAATTTTGCTAAAACATTTCATTTGTTTCACAGGTGATGATTTATGCTTACTTTTTAGTTATATCCACTATATGCATTTTTTTTTTTCCTGTCAAGCTGCCCTTTATTTCAGGGAGAGGGCAGGGCAGGGGGCTCAGTCTTTCTTGGCAGCGACTTTCCTCATGGCGCCCAGAACGTTTCTCAGCTCCTCCTGCTTCCTCTTGGCGTGGATGTGTCCCCACCCTTTTCTCGATGAAACTTGAGGGCCCGTTTGTCCTTGGAGACCTTCAGTGACTCCATGGCGCGCAGCTCCTATGGGGCGAACCCACACACCTCTGAATCATGTCCCACGCAAACTTGGTGTGCTTGGTCAGGCGCCCGTGGTGGCGGCTGTGCCTGGGCTTGCTCACGTTCTTGGTCACCTTGTGGCCCTTGTTGAGGCCCACTGTCATAGGGGTAGCCCAGAGCCATGGCTGCTGCTCTTCAATGGCTGCCGTAGTGGAAGCACTATATGCATTTTTTGCCTCTAAGTGCCCAATAGTCCATCAATTCGCACAACTATTAACTATTTTTTATAATGATTTCCACTAACCCTGTCACAGTTAGGCATAAAGGATACATTACATTCTCATAAGAACAATAAGCCATCTGAAAGAAGTCCTTGACACTTTTTTGCCTTTTAAAGTAACGTTGTCAGTTAAGAGCTGCTTTAGTTCTTGACCATAACTTTGACTATTTTTCCTCCATGGGATTCAGTCAGTTTCGAGGTTCAGTCAATTTCAGGGTTCGGGTTGTCTCCAAAAGTATGTGAGGCTGAATAAAAATAAACATGCTCCATGTTCCCTTGTGAGTGAACTGACAGAGAGGTTGTCACATTGTAGTTTTTCCTCATATAGTGGGGCTGAAAGTATAATTAGTTACCCAATATTTTTAAAATAATGCTGTATTTTTAGTGTTCCAGTGCCGTTATATTGTATACTTATCTTCATTATTATATTCTATACTTATTTCCTTCTGATTGATCAGTAAGTGTTAAAGTCTATTCCTTTATCTAGAAGTACATCTTATTTGCTATGGACTCCAACCGTTTATTTCTTTTGAGATTTTGGTTTTGAGTGTGAACTTGCCCTCAGGAAATCGTGTGTCAGGAAAAGTTTTCTCAAAATGAGGAGAGCATTACATGGAAATCTGACAAAGCTTAGTTCCTTTAACAATATATTCTAGACTTGTAGCAACATGCCAAACTGCAGATCAGAGAACTTGTAGCAGAAGAGCTGCGTTTGTTAAGTCATTTCCTGTGCTCACCCTTGACTTCTCCTGTCTCTCTGTTCGCCACTTGTTTCTGCTTTGTCTTTATGCTTCATTCTCCTTTTCAAAATACTTCATTGTCTCCTTTATATTATTAGTATTAAGTAGTGTATGTTCTTTGATATTACTGTCTGGTCTCTCAGTCAGCACGCTGAGCTTCAAATAATAAAAACGATAATAGTAATAACAATAATAATACTATCCAACATGTTGTAATATCAGGTATTCTTCTCAGTTATCCACCAGCATTAGCTGACTTAATATTCCCAATCTAATAGTTACATACTTGTGAGGTAGAAGGCAATATAATCTTCATTTAACAGATGAAGGTGTGGTGCTCAGAAAAGTTAAATAATTTGCCCAGTGTTACCTGGTTACTGTGTGACAGAACTAAGACTTGAACTAAGGCAGTTTAGCTTCAAATCTCTCCAGTAGTCTATTGCCCAGGACAATTGAACAACTTCTCTTCTCATGTGGTTTCCCTGGTGGCCTGAAACACAGTATGTATTTAAGCATAAAAAGGTTTATGATGCAGTTCCACACCTGTATATTAAATTTTTGGAAGCCAACATAGTCGAAATCAGTTAACTTCTGAATTATGGAATGTATTTTAAATAAGTCACTTTACTTTCAAATAGAGGCACGTGGAGTAAGGTATGAAAATATTAGTAAGAACTCATGAACCATACGTACAAAATTAGAAATAATGACTTGTATTTAGTGTTTCAGTCAACTGAAAGGGATTGTTTCATATACTTTAAAATTTTAGTAGGCTAACATGCATTCTGAAACTTTATTTTTATTTTCACTATAGGTTTAATTATCTTACATAATTATAACAAAAATATACTAAAACTTAATTTGCAATCTTAAAAATATACTGCTCAAGGTAAATAACTATACAATATATCATTCAAGATGCTTTTGTGAGTAAAAAGGATTCTGTTAGTATTTACCCCAAGCAATAGGTATATATTGGGACTATCTTGGGTGAAGATGTATGGACACCCTACTTGAAGCAGAAGCTGTTAGTTGTCATTCCAACATCCTTTCTTCTCTTTTTTCTTTGCTAACAGAACCCTGATGTTATTAAGACATACTTTATTACTATACATAACATATACTTCATGGGAAACTGATCCCATATCTAGTTCCAAGAGGTGGATCC
The DNA here is from genome assembly GCF_000001405.40 of Homo sapiens. NCBI lineage: Eukaryota > Metazoa > Chordata > Mammalia > Primates > Hominidae > Homo > Homo sapiens. Next base: position 114,299,434 of record NC_000007.14, read on the forward strand.
TGACTAGGTAAAACCAATTATGATAATCCTATTCTTTTGCCAGTATGGCTTATTTATATTTTTTTATTAATTTAATTTATATTAAATAATGTTAAGTAACTTCTCTAAGGTTATATAAATAAATAAATTTAGTGTTTAATTTATTAAACATGAAGCCCTTTCTACCTCTTGATCAACTGGGATGGTAACTTTCTATTTAATATATTTTGATTTAGAATTTTTGTCACTTAAAGCTATAAATATTCTAACTAATATACTCATTTTAATCATTATTTGAGGAGTTGGACCCTCACCAGACTTTCACATTACAGGGATTTCTATTTGCATAATGCAGGGTGGGTTTAGGGAAGAGGATTGAGGAGCTTTAATAGGGAAAACAGGGATGGAAGTTTATCTCCCAAGAGTTCAGAAAGGTTATTAAAATGAATCAAAAAGTGGTTTCTTTGTCTTTTGTCTTCTGAAAATGATTTAAGGAAATCAAAGGATTACACAGTACTCATTTACACTTTCAGGTTGACATAGATATTCCTTGCAATTTCTGTGACATTTTCTTACAGGAAGGCTTATTCCAATTCTTCCAGCAGCTACCCTTACACACACTCACACACACACACGTACACACACTCACACACACACACAACTTTACTTTTGGTGGGATTTTTGATAGGAAATGGAAAAGAGATTTAAGCTACTAGCTTTTTCTTATCTGAAGATAGCTGCTTCTCTGGTTCTTATTGTTATACTTTAGGCAATTAGATATATAGATTCCATATTTCCTTACATCACAGATGACGATTCAATCTATATAACCATAGGAAAGGGAACTGGTTAAGTTAGAGTATATAAAACAATAGAATAACAAATAATATTTAGATAAATGAATAATGCAGGTGCGAAGCACTATTTAAATAACATATTTTGTCCTTAAAATATGTATTTATTTATTGGAAAATTATTATTTGCAAAAATATCAGTGATTATTTCTGGGAGATAGAGGTATATAAAAGATTTTCATTTTCCTATTTATACATTTAATGATTTTCTATATTATTTCAACTTTGTTCATCAAACCCATTTTTTTCCTGAAACAAGAAAAAATATTAAAATAAAATAGAAAAAGTTCTTATTCTCAACTGGTTGCAATTCTCTGAGTAGTACACTACTATAGGTATAATTAACCAGATGCCTCATTCCTCAAGCATTCTTAGTAATAACGATTTAATATATCTTTTCTTGTGTTTCTGCTCAGAATTTTAATACCTGTAAAGACAATGTTGTTGTGAATCACAACATCATTAGAAACTGGAATTTTCACCTGGAAAGTTTTTTTTCATTGGTATCTGTACACTTTTCAAAACATGTAAATGTTAGCTACTAAATGGCTTATCTTTAAAAACTGTCTTTCATAAAATCTGAAAAGCACTCCTTTTCATTGTGAGAGATAATTTAGAATTAATCCTAAGACAGAGCTGACTAGGCCAAGTGATTCTTAGCCCCATGAGACAATGAGATACAAATCCCCTTTTGCACAACCATGTTTTAATTCTCCCTTTACTAATATGAAAGGTAAACTTTTAGATATATATTTGAGATATATTATTTCAAAAATCAATATAATGTAAATGATTGATATGCTGAAATTAGAATTTATATTCCCTATCTTAACGAAATAGTCATATAAATGCCCTACTTGCAGAATAGCCTTAATTTTAACAGCCAAAAAGAGTGATACATAGACCATCATTAGTGCTGTTTTTCAAAACGCTGAAAACCAGACAAGTGAGAAACAAAACAAATATTACTTTGATATAAGAATCATTGAACTCCTGGAAAGTTCATTCTATATTAAGAATATAAAAATACCTTTATTTCATACATAAAATAAGGTTAGGTCTAGTCACAAGTTTTTTAGTTTCACAAATATTTGGAGAAAGTCTTGAAAGATGCAATGGCATTCCTCATTATTGTGGATGACTACCAAACATAACTCCTGTCCACACGTTAACAGTGTCTCAAATTGTTGTTACACTCAAAAATTCTCCCCATAATTTTCAAAACTCCTCTTAAATAGTGGTATGCCCCTCACTGAGGAGCTTTGGTTTTGGTACCGGGAGATCTAAGTTCTTCATCTCTGCTACCATCTGTAAAGTTGGACAAGTGTGTTTATCTCTCTGAAGTTCAGATCTGTGATTTATTGATGGAAAATGATATAAATGAAAAGGGCATTTTGCACTGGGTGTCTGTGATCTCTTTTAAGTATAATATTTTGTAATTCTGTAAAATAAAGTCTCCTATCTTAGCAGCATAACTTGGAGGAATCCTCTAAGAATGTTTGTTTAGAAAGATTAACTTTCTAAAATGATTCCCTTGCATCTCAAGAGCTGGTCAACATCTTAAACATGAGTATTTCCCCTGACTTCCAGAACTTGGCATTTGTATAAATTTTCTGTGGCTTTCTGCCATACTTTTTAGGCAGCTCATTGAAGGTAATTAAAATGGTAGAAGTATCACCCATCACTATATGACAACATTTGACAAGCTCAGCATTAGTGATTTGTATAAAAAGCAGAAATGATTAAAGATAAAAAGTGGAAGTAAATCCCTGAGGCTGTTGATTAGTAGAAGTCAACCCATAATTTACTCTTATTGAATTTTAACTTCTAGATTGTAATTATCATGATTACTTAACAATATTTATTGACTTCTGTCTTACATGTAATTCCATATTTTGATCTTTGTTAACTAATTCAAATGTTTTTTAGGAATCTCCAGGTTATAACAGTGGTTGGTAGAGCATGCACTCACACATGTGCAAATATGATTCATTCAGAGAAATTACCATATACACCTTTATAGTCACAGCATATGAACTTTTGATGGTAAAACCACTGGGTTTTATAAATTTATATATATGTACAAATATTCATGTATTAATGAAAACCTATATGGAAGTTCCTAGTTGCTTCATACTTCTCAGTTTGAAAGCACTTTAAAAAATATTAAATCATTTAATACTCAACAACTTTAAGAGGAGGTAATACTATCATTTATTCCATTTTAAAATAAAGAAACATAATTTGAAGTTAGTAAGAATAGAGACAGTATTTAAACTTAAGCAGTTTGGTTTCAGAATCTGTAATTTTAACCTATGAATTATTGTGGTGGACACACAGAAAGATAACTCTATAATGAGCCAAAGCTTTGTATAATTCCCTTCCAATGAGTGAGGGCAGAACCTATGACTTGTTTCTAGCTAACGAATATGGCACAGATGATAGAATAATCATTCCATAAATATATGAGACTCCATCTTAGCAGACTGGAGCAAGTGATTATTCTGCTGGACTTGAATAAGCAAGCTGCCATGTTTTTGAGAAGGCTGGGAAATGGCCACATGGTAAGGAACTGTCAACAGCCTCTCAGGAGTTGAAAGGAGCCCCAGCCTAGAGCCAGAAAGAAAATGGAGATTTCGGTCCTACAAATCCAGGAATGAATTCTGCCGACAATCAAGTGAGCTTAGAAGGGGGTCCTGAGCTCAAGAAAAAGAACACAGCCTGGTTTATACCTTAACTGCAATCTTGTGAGAGCCCGAGCAGATGACTCAGCTAAGCTATGCCCAGACACCTGAGTCACAGAAATTGCAGGGTAATAAATGCATGTTCCATTATGCATCAAGTTAGTCATAATTTGTTACACAGCAATAGGTAGCTAATACAATTTTGAATCATTGAAATAAAACCCCATATCACTTATTGTTAAATGAGTAATTGTCACAGATAACGTGGAACTTGAAATGATTTTTGAAGGATAAAATTGAGCTGTTTGGAATTTTGACAATGTGATTGTGAAAAATCCTACACATACAAAAAAAGGTATGATTGAAGGCAATGATATTTACATTTGGGAAAATTTTAAGACATGTTTGGGAAATAGGAGATATTTATTAAAGAACTTATGATGTTTTAAAGGAAATCTTCACTTATAAAGTGAATTTGAAAGTCATTGAGTGATGTTAGTAGAAGGCTTGTTTGACCAAAGCACTGGAGCAGAGAATGACTTCACATCAAGCATTCATCTTTCATGCCCTCTAGTAACCATTTTCCTTACCTCTTTTCTTTGTAGATCATTTTTAAACCTTTGTTTCCTAGTTAATCTCTTTTAGAACCAGAGTTTTACTCCTTCTGTGTTCTTAATCTGCTCACCATTTTCTATTTGTTGTCTGCCTTAGAAATATGAAACTAGAGGTTTTAAAAAATCTTATTGATAATATACTTTTAATCTCAACTTTTGGGGCAAGTTAACTCATTTCTTTACAGTTTAGTTATTGGTTAGTTGTGAACTTTGTGACTCATTGTGATGAATAATTTGTAAAATAAGTTAATTTTAAACAAAGTATATAAAAGTAGAACATTGACTATATAAACTGATGCTCTAAGAATGAAACATGAGATGTTTTATTCTCTTATTTATTATTTCACATTTTATGGCTGCAGGCTTTATACCTTTATGAAATATTTCATAATTTTTAAGTATATTGATGAGAATAAGTATGGCAAATACTTAACAGAAGGAATTCAAATGCAATTATAATTAGATAACATAGTACATTGTAGTCTGTAATAACAAATAGGTACGTGGATTTATTTGAAATATTTTAAAGTTCTTACTATAGGATTATTTGCTTGTGATATTACAAGTGACCTAGTATTTGTGGCCACAGAAAGTAGCCTTTAGCAAACAAAATAAACACTCTAGCTTCTAAAGGTCTTTAATTAATATGGGTTTCCAAGTTTTACATCTTAAACTCCAGTGGCTAATCACATGAAGAATGGTAAATAAGTGTGAGGAGGCTCAATGCTAGACTCCTAGCATTGAGCAATGCAGAATAAATAAAATGTGTTAATAAAAAATTATATCATTCATTTTTATCCTTCATTTTTATATTGTTAAAATAGATGCTGGGCATGGTGACTCATGCCTGTAATTCCAACACTTTGGGAGGCCAAGGTGGGCAGATCACTTGAGGGCAGGAGTTCAACACCAGCCTGGCCAACGTGACAAAATTATCTCTGCTAAAAATACAAAAATTAGCCAGAAGTGGTGGTGCGTGCCTGTAGTCCCAGCTACTCAGGAGGCTGAAACATGAGAATTGCTTGAACCTAGGATATGGAGGTTGCAGTGAGCCAAGATCGCGCAACTGCACTCCAGCCTAGGTGACAGAGTGAGACTCTGTCTCAAAAAAAAAAAAAAAAAAAAAAAAAAAGAGTGTGCATGTGGAAATTTCATAAATTGAAGTTCAGATGATTTCTTTCTCTATAATCCATGTTCTCTTAATGATACTTTGTCTTTACTGTTAATAGTTAACTATTTCCCACATGTTCTCCTTTGCACATCCACAAAAATGGTTTGAAATGTTTCTGAAACAACGTTAAAGGCATTTAAGAATAGAATAGAACATTTAAGAACAGAAAGCAATTCTGTGTGCTGAAAAGACATTAACTATACAAATAGTAAGCTAGATATATCATATATTTTGTCATTAAATATTTTATAAAATTTTTACTATGCTGTATTATTCTAGATCTTTTAAAAAGATTGTCATTTTTATGATTAATATAAGAATGAAAAAATACAATATGCTTGACCTCATTTGACTTTCTGATGTTGAATCATTTAAAAGGTTTGTAAGATGTTTAATTACCAAAAGGTATGATCATTATTCATCTCATCATTTGATATTTAACGTCAACTGAATTGCCTCCCTGGAGTGCACTGCGTTTCACAGATCAATAGATTTACCAAGAGCTTGAAGGAGAGCTTTAAACGTTCATTGAAAAGAAGGAAAAATATATCCCTCTTGTAAAATGGCTCACATATTCATTTCATCAGCTTCATAATTATTTTATTTACTTCTATGAATAAGTCTCCTTATAACAGTAGTTTTCGAGTATTACATCTCCTTTAAGTAAATTAAATTATAGTGTTAATCAGATTTGTTTTACTCAAATGCACTGAAAATTCTGTAACAGAGAAATACAGAGGTAGAGTTCTTGAATAAATTCTGCTTTTGAGAGCTATCTTAAATGACTGTTTAAAATATGATTCTCAATATTCAGTACAACGCCTGTAAAATTATTCTTATAAAACCATTATTTTATATTCCATCCAGTCCTTATACATTTATGAGGAAATTGTACGGTAAGAAGTTTAGAACTGGAAGAGGAATTGTTCCTTCTTTCCCACTAGCTCCTTGGATGCTCCCTAGTTCTGATGTAATATCATTGAAATGCAGTTAATGAAAACACTTAAAGTTTACTGTGTTTGCTCTGTGCCAGGTTTTCTAATCACTTTACACATATTAACTCATTTAATATTTCACCGGCCTTATAATATAGGTACTGCTATTCCCATTTTTGAAGTTATGTAACTTGCCAAGGTCACATAGCTAATAAATAGAAGAACCAGACTTGGGCCCTTATAAGTGGGTCTTAACCACTTATAAATACTGTCCCTTGGGCACAAGGGGAGAGTCATAAAAAAAGCAACTGGGCTTTTTCTTTTTTATACTTTAGCCAAACTAATGTTAATCTTCATGAAAAATAATCTAAGCCATCACTTTCTGTGCTACTCCTAATCTGTGGTGGTTTGGAGAATGGAAATTATGTATATTAAAATAATAGGATTCTCAATGTGTTATTAGATTAGCCAGAGAGTACCAGGTCTGGTATTTGATTTTACCCTACTTACGTGTAATAAGTCAACTTGTTACTGTTTTGTGGATTCTAGCAGAAGACATGAAACTCTTAGAGCGAAAGGACTATTAATTACAGCACAGCAAGCCACATGAACATTAGTTTCCTTTGCTCCCAAGTGCTGCAGGGGTGATACAATATGGCCCAAATGGATCCTGTGCACACACAGGATATTCATTACAGCTGAGGAACACTCAGCTAGGGATATCTGCTACGTTTATAGAAAACAATAAGCAAGCCTGCTCTTTGTCCCAGATATAATACCTTATCCCTTAAGGTTATTCACTGCAAACACAACCCTAAGAAATACATCAGGTGAAAACTGCATAGAATCTGTATTCTTGGTGCATCTGGCAAAAGGTATAGGAGGGCCAGAAGCTCATGGAGAATGTCTTTTTCAAGTCTGAACCCTGCACTACATTAGTTTCTTATGGCTGCTCTAATAAATTACTGCAAACTCAGTGATTTAAGACAACATAAACTTATTATCTCATAGTTCTGGAAGTCAGAAGTATGACATAGATTTCACTGGTCTAAAGTAAAGGTGTCAGGAAGACCATGTTTTTTTTTCTGGAGGTGCAAGGGAAGAATCCGATTTCTAGCCTTTTCCAGCTTCTAGAGGCTGCCTACATTTCTTGGCTTGGAGGCTCCTTCCATCTTCAAAGCCAGCAATGACTGGTTGAGCCTTTCTAACATCACATAACTCTGACATTGGCCTCCTCTGCCTACCTCTTCCACATTTAGGTCTCTTGTGATTACAGTGGGTCCACTGGCTAATTCCAGACGATCTCCCTATTTTAGGATCAGCTGATTAATAATCTTAATTCCATCTGCAATCTTAATTCCTTTTTGCTATGTAACATAACATTTTCAAAGGTTCTGGGGATTCAGATGTGAACATCTTTGGGAAGCCATTATTCTGCCTACCAAATATGCTGTATTGGTTTCTGGTGAATTTTCATGAGTTGGTGACGTTGTTGGCCACTCTGATTAATTTGACTGACAGGGGTTAGGATTAAATCATTCAATTTGTCTCATAAAGCATTTAACTAAGGCTACTATTAATAGGATTTCAAGCAGCAGGATTAAGGCCACCTGTAAATATTGACCACATTTATGCCCCCCGAGTCCTGGACTCAGCCAATTTTGAATAACTAGCCAGGACAGACTAGTAGGTCTTATTTTAGCCAGACAAGATGTAGTCTAAGGCCAGTTAATGACATGCACAATGGACTTTAAACAGATACACTGATATTTAGTGTCATTACCAATAATTGCAGGGGGAAACAGGTGGACCAAAAAAGAACCCCCACATATATGCATTCTGTGGCCCTTTCTCCTTTATATACAAACATGTAACTCAAAGGGGTACATAAGTTCTCTTCAAGATGCATTACCAAACTTTATTTGGATCATCTTTATACTTTAGTTTGGTTAAGTGACAGGCAGATTCACTGAATAGCTGCAGCTATGATTGCCATACATTTCATAACTCAAAGCCAATTGGGCATCAGGAGAAATGTGAATTCATTTTAGGCATATTTAAATAAGGTTGCATTAGTTTATGTGTTTGAATACATATTGGCATTGGGGGTGGGGAGAGGATGTTTAGGAGTTGCCAAAGATGGCATCAGGCACAACAAAGTAGTTTAGGTCTCATGATGTTCACATGAACTTGTCTGTTTTTGTAGCCTGTGGATGGGGATGATAAACTGAGCAACAGGTCACATTACCAGCTGCAGGAGCTGCTTTACTTAAATGGACCATATGATTATTTTGCTGGGCTGTGGCACTAGATCTAGGAGGGAAGGAGCGTTAATTAATTGTTCCTCACCTCTCACCTTCCAGGGTCTAAGGTGTTTTCACTTAGTGCCGGGATTGTTGCTTTCACTCCATAGCCACAAATTTGGCATACCACATTCCAGTAGCTATAATTTCATCTTTTTTCCAGACATCCTCTAGTTTCATCTCCATCTTTTATCTTAAAGGGCAAGATGGGAATAGAAGAAGAACTTTTGTACAAAATAGAAACCTATGATAAACCCACCTTGGTCCTCATAGGCCACTGGGGGGGACTCAGTGAACAATATACTCAACCAATTAGTCATTATACTAATGATCTAGGATTATATCAATCCAACTAAAGTATACAAGGGACTGAACTACAATTAGTTTGAACTCCCTAGGTCTCCTCGTAAGTGAGGATTACTTTGGATAAAGTAAAGTGCATCATATCTAGAAACGGTCAGAGTAGAATCCTAAATTTTCAAAACAGGTCTGTATAACCATCACCCTTTTCATCCTAGTCATTATTCAGGAGATGGTCAAAGGCGATAAACCCTTTTAAGGGACAGCTGCATTTAGTGACCAAATTGTCCTGCTAAAGTGTGTAGACCAAAAAGAGAGATAAAGGACCAGAAATATTTCTGAATTGCTTTTTGAGGATACTGTTACCAGTCTTCTACAATCCAGATGCCTGTGGAAGGTAGAAGCATGGACTGTTCATCAATTACCTTGGCTTGCAGTCTATTGTAGGGTGATCTTTGCAATAAAAGATGTAGAATTGTCCATCTGTAGGTGGTCCGTAAAGCTGAAAATATGACATAGTTAAGTTTCAGGGCCACAATATCATGGCCAGAGTTGGCTGATTAGACTGAAACGGTGCCATTGTAATCCAAAAAGTCTCAACAGCAGTGAAGCATCAACAGTAGTAGCCCTGGGAGGGAGACAAAAGACCGATATAGTCAATTTGCCAGGGGCAGGTGGAGTCAATGCTGTTGAGAGGTAATTCTCCATGATTTTCTCAAATTTCTACATATCTTGTAAGCAGAGGTACTATCTAATCTTTTCAGAATGTATTTTTAAGAGTGTATAGCAAACAGTTTTGGAAGATAGAGATACAGCTTTTATTTGCAGCAGAGAGCAGGTTTGTTCACTTTTTGTTATAATAAAGACAATGTATCCTTCTGAGATAAAGATTAGACAAGTGTATCTCCCATTATAAAATACACTGGTTTCCTAAGATAAGTGATCCTCTTTGTGTGCAGTTGTCACTTGGCTCTCTTCTCGTCACTCTGTGGAAACTGAAGCTCAGGAAACTGGTTTCTTGTTATCTATAATGTTAGACCCTTTCTCAGTTTTTGACAATCACCGTACGAAGTGTGGCTTCCTGTACCGCTATACCAGTGCACCAGTTCATAGCAGGTGCTGTAAGTCTGGCATGCAGTGGTAGCTTCTGCATCGGAAACATAGAACTCTGAATTGTGTGTCCAGTTTATGATGGTGGGTCCACAGCCATGACTGGTATGATGATGGATAGAGGTAGCAATAGTGGTAGTCTGGCTGGGACAGGCTTGATCAGCATCTTAATTCTAATTGATCTCGTCAGAGAACAGGCTTTAGGCACCTTTAGGAATGACTCAAGATTGTCTGATCAGCAGCTACATTTTTTTCCCCATAGTTCTCAGCTCTAAAGGGAGATACATATTTTTTTTCTTTGAGACAGAGTCTTACTTTGTTGCCCAGGCTAGAGTGCAGTGGTGTGATCATAGCTCACTGCAGCTTCTGACTCTTGGGCTCACGTGATCCTCCAGCTTCAGCCTCCTAAAGACTGAGACTACAGCCACATGCCACCACACTCAACTCTTTTTTTTTTTTTTTTTAGATATGGGGGCTTGCTATATTGCCCAGGCTTGTCTTGAACTCCTGGCCTCAAATGATCTTCCCACCTTGGCCTCCCACAGTGCTGGGATTAAAGGCATGAGCCACTGCACCTGGTGGGAGGTGTCTTTAATCTGCCAGTCTCTGCTTTTCTGAGTGGTAGACCAAACATCTGGGATATTGTCAACAGTCCAAGATATAGTAAAAATGTGACAAAGCTCATAAAGTGGAGTTTTGGTTACTGCTACCTTGAGTTATGCCCATCGAGCTGAGTAAGTAAGCAGCAGCAGTATAGGAAACATCATGAAGTTTCAGCTTAGCCAGAGTATCAGGGAAGCAGGTCCAGGCATTTAGGGAAAGTCTATAAACTGAGGGACCAATTGAGTTAGCAGCTTTACCTTGAGTGGTGTGGTTAGGGTGAATGTCTCCCCCAGAGGGGTAGCTGCCACTTGTTCATATAAAATTGAGATGCCACTAGGTCTAGGCTAGCTGGCTCTTGAATGTACCATTTCCATTTGACTACAGAAGCCTATCAAGGCCCTTCCTAGCTTAATAGTCATCATGTCCAAGTTGACCCTACCCTCAAATGGGAATGTCAGGACTGAGGGTCACAAGAGTCCTCCATATGTCAAGTGTTAGGAGAGCATAGTAGCAGATTAGCTGTCTTTTTTTTTTTTTTAAGTGGGTGTACAGTGGCTGTATCAGGCAGGTGGCACTATTTTACTGGAAATGGTCTTTCTGAGTACTCTGGCAGGCATCAGAGTTTCTAGTTGAAGCTGTGGTTTTCCTTTCTCCTCTTTAGATTCTGTGTTTGTTGTTGTTGTTGTTGTTGTTGGACAACCTGGGAGAAGTTAGGGAGGTGGAGTGGGGGACAAAGGGGTGAAATTACACATCTCTTTATCGCCTGTCTTCATATGGCCATTGCTGAATAGGAGAATTTCTTCTGACATTTAAGGGACACTTTTTTAAGAGCAGGAGTGAAAGTTTATTAAAAAGCTCTCTAGCAGAAATGAAGTAAAGTACACTTGGAAGAGGGACAAGTGGGTGACTTGAGAGATCAAGTGTGCAGCTCAACCTTTTGACTTGAGCCTTTATATGTTGACATACTTCCAGGGTCTTGTGTTACTTCTCCCCGATTCTTCCCTTGGGGTGGGCTGTCTGCCTGCGCATGCTTGAGTCCACTCGACCAATTTCGGAGATCTTATAGGGAAGTTGCGGATCACCAGTTTCAGGTGTTTTCTATATATTAGGAGACTGCCTTTCCCTGGCGCTGGCTGTGACCAATTATTTTAGAGAGATGGTTAACAACCACCTGACCATCACTTGATGGTCACCTGACATTCCTGATATGTGTCTGTCAGGTTGGGCAGGAGCCTCTCTTTCCCTGCTCATGACTGACTGACCTGTTGTAACATTTTCCCCCTCAAGAGTCCAAGACCCAGATTCTTTGGGGAAATGGATAAAGGTCAGTCTTCCATAACTGTTTCCTGCTGACAAAGGGGCAGTGGTGATGGTTCTGTGGGTCTTGGCCTCTTGCTAGCTGTCACAGCAGGAGGGTGGCTTTGTGGATTGGTGAAAGTGGTATCCAGCCAGGTCCAAGAGAGACAGGGGCAGGGTTTTGCCAATGCCAAATATACTTCAGCAGTAGAAGCCACAAGATTACATTATTAAATTGTCCCAAGAGTCCCCCAGTGCAAACCCCAGCTGAACGCCATTTAGTTATATTCTGGTGCGTTTTCCTTCTGCAGGAACTCAAACCAAGGTTTCTTATGTGTGCTTGAGTTGGGGGCCAGAGTGACAACTGGTAGAAAACTATGTTATTCCCCAGCTAGGAGAACAGAGGGGAGGGGTACATGATAGTAGGGAGTCAAGTTTACAGGGACAGTAGGAGCAGTGGGAAGGAAACTGAATTGTAGCCTTTTCTTAAAAAAAATTCTTTATTACTCTACATTTCACTTTTAATTGTTAACCTTTTGCAATGGACTTGGTGCTTTAGTTCTGGGACCCCTTTCTCTCTTGTATACCTCCTGGGCCCTGGAACCTCTTTTGTTTTTGCCCCTCTACATGCTGCTGTATTTCACATCATAGTTCTTAGTGCCTCCTGACACTTGTGCACCCAGTGTCTTATTCTCCTTACCAGCCAAGCTGGGTGGGGCAGGAGGAGGTTGCAGCAGAAGCCAGATACGTGAACTTGGCCCAGTCTTTATTATTATTATTTGCATTTACTCTCTTTTGAGTGGCCACCTGCTGGGCACTCAACCAAATGAACTTTTATGTATTCAGTTCACCCAAATCTCCATATTGAATAGGGAGGTCCTGATTGCCAACATTATTTATTTTGGATTTGGGGATTCCATGATTCAGTAGCCATAGTCACATTGCCTTTTGCCTATGGTTGCTGGACTTGCTGTCCTATTCTCAAGAAAACAACATATTCTTTTTGCTTTTAGAAGAGTGAGGAGAAATCAGGATATCATTTGGGCAGCTTGTTTTATTTCTGCCTCTCTCTGTTTAGCCTCTAAACATTATCTTAACTCCCATTCATTAGTCCTTATTCACCCCTCATCTAATACATAGGTGAGAACATTCACTTATGGAACCCTGAGAGCCATTTCTTCAAACCTGACCCAGAGAACCCTTTTCCTTCCTGTTCCAGCAAACCGTGTCTCTGTTAACATCTTATCCTTTCTCAAACCTGTTGGGTTTAGGGTATGAGTTTACCTAATAGTCTAGCAATTAGTCTATTATTATTTCATGGATACTGGCAGGACACATGAGATGTCAGGGTCAGAGTCAAATAACTGAATTACAGCACAGCAGGCAGCATAAGCAACAGAATTTTTGTGTTGGTTCCCCTTGCCTCAAGTCTTACAGCAATGTCTACAGCCCAGATGGATGCTGTGTATGCAGTGGAGCTGCAGTGAGTCTGGGAAATCCACCACTTTGTAGCAAGCAGTAAGCTAGCCTGCTCTTTGTCTTGGCGGGAAACATTACCTAATTCCTCAAAGTTGCACACTGTAAACACAACCCTGATAAATGGCCTGGGGCAAGAGCAATCAAGGGCTTCTTGGCACACCTAGCAGAATGTGGAGAAACTTGAGAGACCCATGGAGAACCCATCAAAAGGTCTTTATAGAGTTGCACTTCCTGCCTCTGCATCTTGTCTCTCAGAGTATTTTATAACCTACCATTTTTGTGAAGAGGGGGAAATACAGTGACTGAACATCTTCATGGTGCAATCACATAGAGTCCAGAAATTCTCTGAAAATAAGGAAAGTTTCTAGACTCACTACATGCATCATTCAGGGAAATAAAAATATGGGGTTACATTCTGTGTCTGAAAGTTTCCAAGCTAAAAGACACCACTATGAACATAAGTTTATAGAATAACATAGCTTTGGCTCTTCTGTGATGAATTATTTGGCTCAGTGGTAACAATTTACACATGACTTTTAGGACATTAATCTAAAAGATACTTCCACTGATTATTTGGAACATCTTTCTGGAGAAGACAGTCTCTAAAATGGAGAATTTTTGGTAAAGATGCCACAGAATATAATCTTACATTTCCATTTTACTAAATTGTTAATCTATTAAAGGTAAAACAAAAATATTGTCGGCCGGGCGCGGTGGCTCACGCCTGTAATCCCAGCACTTTGGGAGGCCGAGGCGGGCGGATCACGAGGTCAGGAGATCGAGACCATCCCGGCTAAAACGGTGAAACCCCGTCTCTACTAAAAATACAAAAAATTAGCCGGGCGTAGTGGCGGGCGCCTGTAGTCCCAGCTACTTGGGAGGCTGAGGCAGGAGAATGGCGTGAACCCGGGAGGCGGAGCTTGCAGTGAGCCGAGATTGCGCCACTGCACTCCAGCCTGGGCGACAGAGCGAGACTCCGTCTCAAAAAAAAAAAAAAAAAACAAAAATATTGTCATTATTTGAAATTGTATAATTTTGTATAATGTTAAAAATAACTACAAGAAAGGATATATAATTCTAACACATATCACCTGTACGTATTATGTTTAGGATAATTATAATCCAACATTTTATCTTGAGTCTAGTTGTAACTGATCAATATTTTTTCAAACTGAAAGTCTGGCTCCATTAGTGGTTTATACATTAATTTAGTGGATTGCAACCAGCATATTTAAAAATGTAATGTAATAGAATAAATAGAACAGAACAGAAAGCAGAACCAAAAAGAATAGAAAAGAACAGAATAAAATGGAAAATACATGCTATTATGGATTAATATCCTGTGAAACTTTTATGTACGTGTATTTGAGTTCTCAGTGCTAATTACATTTTTTTCTTGCTATGGAATATGGTCACGGTAGTTTGAAAGATTATCATAAGTAATGAAACAGCATTATATTTTATATAATATGATAATTTATATTATTTTATTGTTATGTTTTATATATAATATATATAATATATGAAACTGTTTCCTTTCTGTTGACAGATATAACTGTAAAAAGCTGTGTTTGGTAAAATTTCTGGTCATTTTGCTCTGCCCCAGCTGTCTTTTGCTTAGTAAGCTGTCATAGATGCACCCTTGCTCTTTGCTTCCTTCAGACAGCATGGGTAGTGTATGGATCATAGACCTACAGTGCTCTGAATCACCTGAACAATCTCCACTGAGCAATTTTCACATAGTTCAATTGGATGAAAAAGCCTATGATATTGTATTAATATGAAGATATAGTCTTATATGAAATAACTGTGACCTTTTGACTAAAGGAAAGTTTGAGGCTGAGAAAGTTTAAGGCTATCTTGTTCATCTTTGTGTTCCTAGTACCTAACCTCAGGTTGGTATGTAGTAGGTACCTAATAAGCACTTGCTGAATTAATGAGTAAACATGTGACCACATTATAAATTTGGAAAGAAGCTATATTGGCAATTGATAAGGTATGTCTCTCAAATCAGGAGAATGATTTTCTTTGTAATGTGTTGTCTGCCTTATTATCAACAGCTGTGTGTTTTGTGAGGCATGGTCTCCATATTCCACTAAAACTATTAATAAAATGGATAAAGTAATGCTGCTTTTTGTGTCCTGTGTGCAATGATTATATAGATGGCTATTTAACATTTCTCATGCATTGCTGTTTACTTCTGAAAGAAAAAAAAGTGGTTCTAAAACGATAAGCACCACCTTTAAGCATTCTAACATTTGCCACAAAAATCTGGTAGTATTTTTGTCAGCCAGGTGCATATACTTTGCCTCTGTAACACTAAACAATGTCAATCCAGGTTCCATCACTGTCTTTGTGTTGGCTTTTTCCCAAACTCTGTGAGGGTTAATTGTTTACATTTCCTCTCTGGGAATTTTATAGGAAGTTTCCTGGGAATTTAATAGGCAATGGAAGGAAACTAATGTTCATTAAACAAGAAAATGATTTAGGCATTGTATTAGGCACATTTTCTCATTTATCTATTATTCACAAGTACCCATATTATAGAAGAGGAGTCTGAGGAGCATAAAGTTTAAATACTGCCAAAGCCCATACAGGTAGTAAGTGGTTCAGTTAATATTTAAATTTAGACTTATCAGGCTCCTCGGTTTCTATTCCAGTAGACCTCTGTTATTCAATCATTTCTAATTGATAAAACCATGTTATGAATGTAAATGTTGACCATACTGTTGCATGAAGTATTATATTTTGGGCTAGATAGAGTGTTCTAGTCACCCATACTAGCTATTAAGTTTTTTTAGTTTTATTTTCTGTCCCTTGTATTATAAAAAAGAAAATCACTATACATGCACACACACACACACACACACACACAAACAAACATAAATACAGTAAATTCTTGTTACTTGCCGTAATTATGTTCTGTGAAGTCACCACAAACACTGAGTTAGTGAACACTGAACCATTGCTCCTCAGAGGAATACAGGGAGGGCTAGGTTCCTGTAAGACCCTGGTCAGAACATTTCCATCAGTTGATCAATATATAACCTTGTGTTACGTGTATTTCTGTTTTAAAAACACTGTATTTAGTATATATTGTTGCCTCACTATAGCCAATGTCACTATAGCTCATGCCTGAGAAAAGCTTATTTAACTAACATACATATTTTCCCCATAGGGCATATCACAACCTTTTTACACTTAGGAACACTAGTCAACACTTCAGTACTACTTTTGGGACCTATTTTAAACAGTGAAATCACCAACAAAAAGCACAGATACAGCACTAAATAGACTGTGAAAAAGACATTTGTTTACAGTAAGAACTGGAACAGGAAGGGACAGTGTCACCTTGTCTAACTTCAGCTGGGTGTGTGCATGTCAGGCAACTCAAATTTTTTGCTGGGTACATGTCTGTGAATGGCCACAAAAGTGCTGTATTGCTTTTTCAATCACAAACACATAGGTGAATTCACAAATATGGAATCAGCAAGAAAACAGGGATCAACTGTGCATACATGTATAATTATCGAAAATGTTTTATCAAAATATACATTACTCTAATTCTCCAACATAATGTTCTCGACCAGTTCATTCATTCAGCATATATACTGAGCATATACAGTGTGAAAGGCACTGTTGTCAGCACTACAGATTTAGTCATCAACAAAACAGGTATAGTCCCTACTTTCATTGATGATACAGTATATTTTTGTAAAAGTGAATAATATGCTAAGTGATGATATGCACCATAAAGAAAAAGCAAGAGAAAAATACAGACTGACATTGATGGAACTTTTTTACATAAAGTGGGTGAGGAAGACCTAACTCGTATGGTGGCTTTATAGTAGGGACCTGAAGGAGACAAAGGAGTGAGCCCTGTAGATATGAGAGAAGAGCATTCCCAAGAGAGGAAACTGCAAATGCAAAAGCCTAGGAGAGTTTCATGTTTAAAGCGTTGCTCAGAGAGGGCTAGGATTTTAGGAGATGAGGTCAGAAAGTTAGAAAGTATTATAGAGTCTTTAGGACATAAGCCCATGATACCCAAAATCTCTTTTATAAAAAACTTTCTAATTTTTTTTTTAAATTCTTTCTCCTCTAAAGACATGAATTGCCTTGTGAATGATATAAACACGATTTTGTTATTAACAAGTGATTGAGGTACTTAATCCCTACTTCAGGGCAACTTCTGGGTCCATACAAAAACTTACCCAGAATCACCTGCTCCAGTTTAAGTTTCAATATTAGGACAAGGACTTGCAGTGTCTGCTGAAACTTTGGTTTAACTTTTCCTGGGGAAGTGAAAGTAGGATTTTCAGCTATTTGTTTCTGATTACTTCTAAATAAAATTTTAGTTGTTTTGTTACTCCCTCCACCCATGTCCCCTGGTCCTCCATCTTTCCCAGGAATTCTGGGTACCTAGTGAGATTTCTGTGATTTTCCCAATTCTTGCAGTTGTCCCAATGTATCACCTGTTGAGAGACAGTCACTGGAGCTATAACACACCTTATCTTGGTATAACAGTGGATATGTTTGAATATAAGCAATAGATCGAAACCAATAACTTAGAGATGCTTTATTTTGATGAGTGGATTTGAGAGAGTAGGGATGGTAAGTGACACAGTGGAAGTCTAAAATTACAGGATAATATTTAAACCTTGCAGTGCTTTGCACATAATAAATGTTTAGTTAATGTCTTATGATCAACTAATGAATGGAAGCTGCACTAAAATATAAACACAATTTAGTTGCTTCATACTATCTCCACATCTGCCACCTTAATGCAAGCCACCATCACCTCCTGCCTAGAATTTTGCCATAGCTTCTAGTTAGTCTAAGTCTACAATTGATCCCCTGCAGTCTGTTTTTGTTCAGCACAGCAGTTAAAGAGATTCTTTTAAAATTCAAATCATGTCACGTCATCATTTAAAACCCTCCATCCCCTCCCTCCCTTTGCTTCAGGATCTACTGCCATTTCCTAAAAATAAAATAAAAAATCCTTAAGATGATCTACAAAACAGTATACAATCTAATTTCAGATCTTATTACCCTCCCTCTCCTTCATTCTGGTCTTGCCACAGTAGCCTTCTTGCTGTTTGTTAAACACACTAAACACACTAAGTATGCTCCCACCTCGGGGCCTTTGCAGCAGCTGTTCCCTCTGACTGGGTTGCTCTTCCTCCATTTATCTGCATGGCTAACTCCCATCAGCTCCTTGAAGTTTTTGCTTGTCACTTTCACCATAAGGGCAGCCCTGACAATCCTAATTAAATTTGCAATTCTGTACCACATCAACTAATCACTCTCATCCTAACCTATTTTTTCACATTTTTCTCATTTCTCATTAGAAAAAATTCTAATTTTTCTCATTTTCCAATTTACTGTTCTAATTTTAATAATTTTCTTTGCTCACTGAAATGTGGACTGTTTGCGGAGTGATGCAGAGGCTTTAGTTAGGGTTTTGTTTTTGTTTTATTTTCTCCTCTGGAAATGCTTCTCCTGGATCTAGACCCATTTAAATCCTACCCATTCTTCAAGTTCCAATTTAGATATTCAGAAGAATTCTTTGTACTTCTTCGCTACAGTATGTTTTCTACTTAGCATGATGTCTCTCTTTGTTTTTTTTTTTTTTTTTTGGAGAGTATGATTTTTATTTTAAATTCAGATTATTTAAGAATATTCATTTTCTATTATCTGACCTTCTTTATTCTAGAATACAGACGTAGTAGTGAACAAAACAAAATCCTCACACTAATGTACATATATTTAAAATAATCCTTTTTAAAAATTACTGTTTCAGGTACATTTCTAATAAATGAATTTAAACACAATGATTCACAATAAACAGTGCAGTTACTCAAATACATTAAAGGAATAGTATTAACAATACACTGTCATCACCATATTTTTTCCAATATCAGACAACTATTTTGAGGATTTAGATAATTCATATATATATATATATACACACACACGCACAGACATATGGAATGTTTTGCATATTTTCTGGCAGATCAGAGCTACTCATACATACAAATAAATACTACCTTTATTTGTATGTTTGACAGAAGGCAGAATGAAACCAGTTGTATGTATGTAAGCCAAATTGACTTCTGAAAATATCTGTAAATAATTAAATATTCTAGTTTAGTGTAGTTATATTCTATATTCCAGTAATAGGAAAACAACATCTAACCTACATCTTTAAAATGTGGATAGAATAAAATAGTAATTTTGGGAACCCCCAGTTAAATTGGGGTTCCAATACCAGATTAGCTAGCAACCCTGCCCTAATGAAAATATGGGAGCAGAACATTAGTGTTTAGTGGACCTTGCTTGGGCTACATTTTTAACCTGGTGAATGGGCTAATGCCTATTTGTTGGACCTGTGATGGGGGGTTGGGGGGGCGGGTCCCTCACGTGGGAAACTTGTTTATACTGGAAGGTGTCCTTGTGACTCTTACCTGGACTCATGTGCTGTTTATACCTGCCTGACCATCACTCTGGCTCTGGGAGCCTGCCTTTGTGTTCTCCTCAGCTTCCTGGGGAAGCCCACAGTTCTTCAGATAGAAGGCACAAATTAAAAACACCACCACAATAGAAAAACAAGACTCTCTTTGTATTACAGTATTTTTCCATTTTCACAGAAAGCATATTTGAGCCTGGGCAATTTACAGAAGAAAGAGGTTTATTGGACTTACAGTTCCACATGGCTGGGGTGGCCTCACAATCATGGCGGAAGGCAAGGAGGAGCAAGTCACATTGTATGAGGATGGCAGCAGGCAAAGAGAGAGCGTGTGCAGAGAACCTCCTGTTTTTAAAACCATCAGCTCTATTGAGACCCATTCACTATCACAAGAACAACATGGGAAAGACCCACCCCCATGAATCAGTCACCTCCCACTGGGTCCCTCCCACAACACATGGGAATTATGGGAACTACACGATGAGATTTGGATGGGGACACACAGCCAAACCATATGAACTACCAAAATATATGGTCATTTTACTAGAAAAATCAATAAAGAAAAATCTGGACATTTGTTATTTTGATTGCTGGCTGCTAGTTTATTTGGATTTATAATTGGGTATTGTCATGTAGATGAGTCCAATTTGTACATTTTGAATTCTGTTTTTATAATTATTTGCTAACTTACTACATTGCAGAGTCTAAAAGTGAAATCTTTAATATTCAGGTCCCTGGGAAATCTACTCATTGTTTCCATCACTGATGCGGATTTCAGATTTGGAGTCATACTGGAATTCTAGATAAAGCATCCTGTTTCTTCCTGTTCAGTAGAAGAATGAGGTGGGATCATTCCCATATATACTCATAATATATGCTTTTTAAAGCCACCATTTCCCAGCACTCTGCTCCCTTTATTTTCAGTTAGGTCACCTCTGATTTGTTGGCTGTATACTGCTTGCACTGGACTACCCATCACTTCCTGAATACATCATGCCAGTCCAAGAATATGTATTTATTTTTGATACCCAGAAGAACTGGCCTCTTGCCTCAGTTTTCTCTTTATCACTTCAACTTTCAAAACCCTGCTTTAAAAAGCCAACTCTGTTTTGAAGTCTTCCAGGTATAATTCAGCCCTACCACCTCTGTGTTCTTAAGGTATTTTATGTATTATACCTCTACCATACAACTACTCATTGTTCAAGTTACTTAATTACGTGTTTGTTTGTTTGTTATATTTCCCTGCTCCCATGTCACTATATTGTAACTTCTTTGTTTATTTTTATATTCTGGCACCACATTCAATACTGATTCACAGGGATCTAAAACATTCTAGTTATTCAGTCACTCTGTCCTGTGTGGCAGATAGGACTTATGTATCTTCAGAATATTTGAGGAGTCATTCTCAGAGTCTCTCATGAGTGCTCAACTTAACTGTTCCACAAGTCTGTCTTCATAGCTGCATGTTGCATCTTCCAGTCTCTGTTCTTAAGTTACCTTGACCAATCTTGTGAGACTTACACAAAATATACGGCCCCTCCCTGCAGAGGGACAACCTTCTCAACTTCACCCTAAGAAAACAGAACATTTTTAGCTCCTGGCAAACTTGAAGACTACCAAAGACAGAAGACCTGTGGAAGAAAGGAGGAAGGGCAAGCCCTACCTTCATCAATAAGCTAAAGATTTCCACCTCCTAGAGGTTCCTGTGCTCCTAAGGCAACGTTTACTTTATTAAATATAAAATTAAAAATTCTACGGGAAATAATTTGCTTTGGATTATTTCACCGTTGTTTGAACTTTTCCAGACAAGGAAAGATGATTTTTTCCATATTTGTGTGGCAAAAGGGATATTCTGACAGCCTCCTTCCCCTTCCCTCAGAAAAAGTTTTAGAAGGAGAGTTAGGTAACAAGGAGCCTCGCTATTCTGCAACCATGAATATCTAGTAACTTTATTTATTTATTTATTTATTTATTTATTTATTTATTTATGAGACAGAGTCTTGCTCTGTTGCCCAGGCTGGAGTGCAGTGGTGCTATCTTGGCTCACTGCAACCTCTGCCTCCTGGGTTCACGCCATTCTCCTGCCTCAGCCTCTCGAGTAGCTGGGACTACAAGTGCCCGCCACCACGCCCGGCTAATTTTTTGTATTTTTAGTAGAGACGGGGTTTCACTGTGTTAGCCAGGATGGTCTTTTTCTCCTGACCTCGTGGTCTGCCTGCCTCAGCCTCCCAAAGTGCTGGGATTACAGGTGTGAGCCACCTGGCCTGGCCTCTAGTAACTTTTAAATAAAGTTGTCTCATTAAAAATAGTTCCCATTCTACTTTACCAGGAAATCTGCTACAAACAATTGTTTAGAGCAGCATCTCATAATCCCAAGGCATTATTCTCTACTTCCTTTTGTAGCAAACGTGTGTATAAGGCACAGTGGATAATACAGGAATATATAATTTTATGCATTTTATAATTTTAATTCAGGATGTTTTTGCAAGCTGGTAGAGTCTCCATGACATGTACTTGAAACAGAATCAAATTTATTGAGCATCCAGTCCAGGTACATTTTTGGTTTGCATTATTTCATTTTAAATTTCCAAAAACATTTTCAAAGTAAATACTTTTATTTACAGTTTGTATATGAGAAAGCTTAGACTAAGAATTTGTCCATAGCTATTAAATAGAGAAAGCCAAGCTTAATTTGTAGACCTTCTTATCTCCAAAGCTCATGCAATTTTTCTATGCTCTGTTGATGATTTTATTATTAGCCAAAAATAAATGCCGTGAGAATTTCAGAGGATTCCTTTTTTTTTTTTTTTTTGAGATAGGGTCTGGCTCTGTCACCCAGGCTGGAGTGCAGTGGGTGCCATCATAGCTCACTATAGCCTAGACCTCCTGGGCTCAAGCAATCCCCCTGCCTTAGCCTTCTGAGTAACTGGAATTACAGGTACATGCCACCATGCCCAGCTAATATTTTCTTTTGTAGTGATAGAGTCTCACTATATTATTGCTCAGGCTGCTGTCACACTCCTAGACTCAAGCAGTCCTCCTGCCTTGGCCTCCCCAAGTGCTGGGATTACAGGCATGAGCCACCATACCCTGACAGATAATTGCTTTATATGAAAGCTCATTTTAAAAATTTTACATTTAAGCTGGGTGTGGTGGCTCATGCTTGCAGTCCCTGCACTTTGGGAGGCCAAGGCAGGAGGACTGCTTGAGGCCAGCCTGGGCAACATAGTGAGACTTTATCTCTACAAAACATTAATATAAATAAAACAAATACTTACATTTAATTTTCCCCTGCCATATACAGATGCACAGCATTAAAGCACATATAGTTCCATTAAATCTTCACAATTACTATAGTAGACATTTTTTTCAATTTTGCAGACAAGGAAACTGAGACAGAGAGGTTAAGTAAAATGTACACATTTTAACTGGTGAAGCATGTATTTGAAACCAGATTTTTCTAAGGCTAGAGTCCACATTCTAAAAAAATGTGGTACTTTATCTCATACAAACCTAGTAGTCACATTTGTTAGTGTCAAATGTGTTTACTGTAAATTAAGTTGTGTTGTGATATTTTGTATACCAAATTGATTTTGTGTTTATATACACGTATTTTGTTGGTTGATATTTATGTGTGTTTGCGTGTGAGGGAGATTTAGGTTTTGTATGGCTGCTCCTCATTTGATTTTATATTTAAGCAAAATTAATTTTATTGTCATCAATGTCACAGAGAACTTGTGTGTATTGAAAGGCATGAGTTCTTTGGCAGATTTATACCTAACTCATTAATATTCTTAGTTCCATATTTTATATTCAAATTTACTTCTGCATACATTAGTTTACATAGGGTATTTGTATATATCAAGGCATGTCTATGTATGTGATTTTTTGACATGTTTTCTACCATCTATGGGTATACACCCCAGTGAATGAATTTAAACACATCAGAGCCTCTCTTTATACAATGACAATCCATTATCTATTTTAATTTTACAACAAATATTTTCAGAATGGGATAGTTCCTATTACCGGAGGTTAAACTGTAATTTGAGTTTATCTGCCCCAGACTAAAATCAGCACAGCAGTACATTGCCTTTGTCATACTATTAAACATTGTGAAATTGTCTTTCTCATTGGTTTTATGCAAAGAGAAATCCATTCGTTGTACAAGTACAGAAAAATGAATTTAATATCTATTATTTTAAATATAAGAGAGAGGGAGGATGCATTAATAGATTTATGTATGACACATATATATCCAAAAAGAGTGAGTTGCTGAAAAGACTTCTCACTAGGAAAAGGTAATCATTCTAAGTCAGAGTTACAATGATTTATCCCCCAAAAAATACGATATTGGAAAAGGAGATACTTTCCAATTTGTCATTTGATTCAGTTACTCATTTTTAAAAGAAATAATTGTTTTCCTATAGATTAGCCATTTGAAAATAATTGCATTTAAGTATTCTTGGAAGTTGGTTTTATTTAAACAATATGAAATACCATCAGAGTACTTATAATTTTCCTCCCAGGAACAAGTACAGTCTAAAAACACTTATACTGTTGTTATTTTTAGATTTTGTCTTTAGCATTTTATTGTCTCAAGTGGCTTCACAGCTATTATAACTAAAATGTAGAGACCAAAGTTTTATCACTTTCTAGATTCAAACTAGAAGTTCTGTGTTAGAGCTGGAGTTATTCTTCAAGATGAAGAACTCTTATTCTTTTTATTTTAAAGATTCTGTCAATCCATATGCCTATCAATATTTTGGAACTAAGATTCTTTCTGTGTCACCATATGTTTGACTTTTAAAGCAAGAGATTGTGATTCTGGCCTCATCACAGTCTTTACACATAGAATCTGTTGTTGGAATTTTCTGTCACTAGGACCTTTTTTTCTTTAAATTCAGCATTGTAAATCCTCCTATTCTCCCAGTACAATGTCTTGCTTTTATTTTAAAAAAATATTTCTTTCAAATGTGTTTATTTTTTTCACTTCTTTGACCATATCCCAGTCTCTTTTTATGTACAGATACCATATTATTAGCTAAAAAATAAATGCCATAAGAATTTCAGATAACTACTTTGTAGAAAATCTCATTTTAAAAACTTACATTTAATTTTCCTCTGCTATATACTGACAGTTCCCTTTGAGCTAGCCTGTTTATTTATCTGGTCTTGTTGCACATTTGAAACTTTCTCACTTTTACTTCTTCAAGGAAATTTGTGTTTATATTTTGTCAGGCCTCTCTCTTCTATACTTCTTGCTAGATTATTGCTTGCTGATATTGAGGTTTTTTTCTCTTTAACCTCAGATACAGTTTTCCATTCTTTCCCTTTTCTCTAGTTGCATATGACATGTGCCTGTCTTCAACATATTACCTATTCCCAATAATTATTCCTAATAATTGGCGACTGTTATCTATCTATGAATGGAATTTAATAACCAATCTCACTACAGAAATGGTATTATTATATCATCATTTTACCTTTATACTCTATCAGAATATTTGCTTAGGAACCTTTTAATACGTATTACATTTTTAAAAATTGCCCCTTTGCTGTTTATCAGTGCTAGTACTTATTTTGTCATAAGTTATAAAATTCATGAGCAAAAAGGGATTTATATGTTTTATTTTCTTTTTAAAAAATCCAGTTCCTTTGGGAGATAAATGTTCTTTTTAATTTTTGTGGGCACATAGTAGGTGTATGTATTAATATTTATGGAGTACATGA